>NT_187668.1:0-205194 GCF_000001405.40 Homo sapiens
CTTTCTCCATAATTTTTGTGTGCGATGCCCACTGTCTTGAGACTTGAAGGTATAAAGAGAAAACAGGAGCATCACACTACCTGACTTAGAAATATGTTACAGAGCTGTAGTAAGCAAAACAGCATGACATTGGCATAAAGAAAGGCACATAAAAAATGGAACAGAATGGAGAACACAGATATAATCCATGCATTTACATCCAATGGCTTTCTTTTGTGTGTGTGTGATGGAATCTTGCTCTGTCATGCAGGCTGGAGTGTAGAGGTGCAATCTCAGCTCAATGCAACCTCCACTTCCTGGATTCAAGAAATTCTCTTGCTTCAAACTCCTGAGTAGTGGTATTACAGGCACTGATCACCATGCTCAGCTAATTTTTGTATTTTTAGTAGAGACGAGGTTTCACTCTGTTGGCCAGCCTGGTCTTGAACTCCTGGCTTTAGGTGATCCACCCGCCTCGGCCTCCCAAAGTGCTGGAATTGCAGGTGTGAGCCACCATGCCCAGCCCATTTAATGGACTTTGACAAAGGTGCCGAGAACTTACAATCAAGAAAGGACAGTCTTCAATAAATGGTGTGGGGAAAACTGGATATCTACATGCAGAGGAATAAAACTGCATCTATACCTGTCACCTTACACAAAAATCAAATGAAAATGGATTAAAAACATGAGTCTAAGGCCTGAACCTATGAAACATGTAGAAGAAAATAATGGGGAAGACATTTGTCTGACGAAAGACATTTTGTTTAAAACCTTCAAAACACAAGTAATCAAAGCAAAAAATAGACCATTAGGATTACATCAAACCAAGCAACTTCTGCACCACCAAAGATAAACCAACAAAGTGAAGAGACAACCCACAAAATAGGAGCAAATATTTGCAAACTATTCATCTGAGATGGGATTAATAACTGGAAATATAAGAAGCTCAAACAACTCAATAAAACAATTTAATTAAAAAACGAGCAAAAGACATGAGGAGACATTTCTCCACAAACAAAACATAGAAATGGCGATCACGTATATGAAAAAGTGCTCAGCATCACTCATCATCACAGAAATGTAAATTACAATCGCGATGAGTTTTCATCTCATCCCATTAAAATGCCTTTTAGGCCGGTGGCTCACGCCTGTAATTCCAGCACTTTGGGAGGCGGAGGTGGGCGGATCACCTGAGGTCGGGAGACCAGCCTGACCAACATGGAGAAACTCCCTCTCTACTAAACATACAAAAATTAGCTAGGCGTGGTGGCACATGCCTGTAATCCCAGCTACTTTGGAGGCTGAGGCAGGAGAATCAGTTGAACGCGGGAGGCAGAGGTTGCAGTGAGCCGAGATCACACCCTTGCACTCCAGCCTGGGCGACTATGAGTGAAACTCCATCTCAACATAAATAAATAAATAAATAAATAAAGTAAAATGGCTTTTATCTGCAAGACAGGCAAAACAAATGCTGGCAAGATGGTAGAGAAAGGAGAACCCTGGTACCCTGTTGGTAGGAATGTAAATTAGTACAACTATTATGGAGAAAAGTATGGAAAAACTTTAAAAAACTAAAAGGAGGCTGGGCATAGTGGCTTATGCCTGTAACTTCAGCACTTTGGGAAACCGAGGCAGGCACCTCACTTGAGGTCAGGAGTTTGAGAGCAGCCTGCCCAAAATTGGGATATCCCGTCTGTGCTAAAAAATACAAGAATTAGTCAGGCATGGTGGCGTGCACCTGTAATCACAGCTATTAGGGAGGCTGAGTCAGGAGAATCGTTTGAACCTAGGAAGCAGAGGTTGCAATGAGCCAAGATCGCACCACTTTGACTCCAGCTTGGACTAAGGAGGGAAACTCTTTCTCAAAAAAGAAAAAAAAAAAAGAGAACTTTCATAGTGTCCAGCAATTTCACTACTGGGTTTATATCCAAAGGAAAGGACATCAGTGTATCGAAGTGATATCTGCACTCATATGACTGTTCCAGCACTGTTCACAGTAGCCAAGATGTGGAGTCAACCTACCTGCCTATCAGTGGGTGAATGGATAGAGAACTGTAGTACACACACACGGTGGAGACTACTCATCCATAGAAACAATAACATCCTGTCATTTGCAGCCACATGGATGGAACTGGAGGTCATTACAAAGATTCCCATTTCTCACCACATGCAGGAGATAAAAGGTGGATCTCATGAAGGTAGAGAATAGAATGGTGGATACCAGAGGCCAGGAAGGGAAGGGTGGAGGGTAACAAAAAAAAGAATATAGATGTATTTATTTATTTAGAAACAGAGTCTCTCTCTGTCTCCCAGGCTGCAGTGCAGTGGCATGATCTCGGCTCAGTGCAACCTCTGCCTCCTGGCTTTAAGTGCTTCTCCTGCCTCAGCCTCCCAAGTAGCTAGGACTACAGGTGCATGCCGGCATGCTTGGCTAATTTTTCTTGTCTGTTTAGTAAAGATGAATTTCCCGCATGTTGGCCAGGCTGATCTCGAGTCCCTGATCTTAAATGATCCACCTTTCTTGGCCTCTCAAAGCGCCAAGATTACAACCGTGAACCACCACACCCAGCATATAAAGGTATTTATGACCACTAGATTTTACTTTTAAAAATGGTAAAGTTGGTAAATTATATAGTTACATTTAACCTCAATAAATATTTTTGAAAATGAAAAGAAAAGAGTGTAGGGGTTGCTGGTGATGACATCTCTCTGTGTGGGTGAGAGGCCAGGATGGGCTTCTGGGAAATGGGTAAGGTTGAGGGGCTGAGGGAACCTCTGATCTCCCCAAACTGAGCCCAGTCTCCCCTTCTCTGGGTCTGTCCTGACCGCTTTCTCCATCTGCCTGGGTGCCTGGAGCCCTGACCATGGGCCTCCATGCAGGCCATGCAAGAGGGTTTGGAGGTGCCCTGTCTGCCATCCTGCACCCTGACCCCCCCCTCACACCCAGTCTTCGTGTTCTCTCTGCATCTGTCCATGCTTCTCCCCATCATCGGCAGGAAGCTCCTCAGCTATGGCTCTAGGATCATAAGACATGGGACAGACACGGGTTTTCCTCACCTGTGACAGAAACAAGCAGTGGGTCACTTGAGTTTGACCACACGCAGGGCAGGGCACGGAAAGAGCCGAAGCATCTGTAGGTCCCTCCGTGGGTGGCAGGGCCCAGAGGAAAGTCTGCCTGGAATGTTCTGTTGACCTTGGGCACTGCACGGAGCCTACGTTCATGGGCCTCCCCTTCCCTGGACAGATGGTAGATGTCATAGGAGCTCCAGGAGCTACAGGACAAGGTCACGTTCTCTCCTGCCTGAACCGTGGGGCCCGGCTGGGCTGAGAGAGAAGGTTTCTCATATAGACCTGGAAGGAGAAGAGGCAGTTTCCTCAGGGAGGTTCTTCCTTGTCACAGCTCCCCTCATACCTGAGCTGAGAACTCACTCCCCTGCTCTATGACCTAATGCTCTCTCTCTCTCTCACCCTCCACCCCAACTCTCTTCATGTCTATTTCCTCCTTCCGCCTTCTCTGTCTCTCTAGGTCTCTGACCTCACTTCCCCACCCCTGGGTATGCTTTCCCTTTTTGGATTGTTTTATTCTCTCTGACTCTCCTTGGATTGGTTGACTTGATCTTCCTTTTTCTATAATTCTGAGTCTCTCACTTTCTGTCTTGTTCATAACTTTCTGCATATTTCTATCTATTATCTATCTATCTATTTTGTGTCTATCTACAAATTATCTGTCATCTATATCTATGTATCATTTATCTATCAATTGTCTATCTGTCTATCCATCAATCATCTATGTATTATCTGTATCTATGTATCATCTCTCTCTCTCTCTATTACCTCTCTGTCTGCCTGTCAGTCTCTATGTATCATCTATGTATCTATATATTTATATATGTGTCTTCTATCTATCTATCTTCATCATCATCATCATCATCATCTCTATGTATCATCTATCAATCATCATCTATGTATCTATAACCTATCCATTATCTATCATCTACCTATTTATCATCTATCTATATCTATCTATCCATCTATCATCTGTCTCTCTCCATCTCCTTGTCTTTCTCTGCCTCTCAGTCTCTCTAGTTCTATTTGGAATCTCTGCAATCCATCCCCACATCTTTATCTTTCTCTGTCTTTGTGCCCCTCCCTCAGGGTTCTGATTTTGGGGCTTTTCTCTCCTCCCTTCCAGCATTCTCTCCACTCCTCTGCCCTCTTTTCTTTCTTTTTGTGTGTCTGTGAGTCTCTCAATCCCCTTCCTCTGGCTCATTCTCTGTGTGTTTATGCCTTTGCTTTTTGAAGTCCCTGATTTATCTCTGTGTCTCTCAGTGATCCTATTATATGTAGGATTATTTGGAATATGAGCCTCAGAATCTAGTCTGGGGACACCAAGTACACACAGTATTTAGGGGTTGGTGTTCTGGGGCCATGATATCCTGGGATAATTATGGCTCCACTGCATGGAAGGCAGAGGTGTCAGAATAAACATGGCATCTGTAGATGCCACAAGGCCTGAGGCCACAGGGCCCAACTCAGGTCAGAAATATGGGTGTCCTTGGGTTCTCCTCGTAGAAGCACTTTGTGGAGACAAAACAGAAATGAAACTTCTAACCTGTGCCAGGTCTCTGAGCAAAGTCAGCATGGAAGGACACTTCTCTCTGGCACATGTCTGTCTGTCTGAGTGTCTCCTTTACCTCTTTCTCTCTTTTCTACTTCCCCGTATGGCCCCTGTGTCTGTCCTCTGTTATGACACCTGGTCTGTACTTATGTCTCCTGTTTCCCTGTCTCTGTTGGTACAGACCTCACCGAGTCAGTCTCTCTCCATAAGAATCCCACGCTTATCTTCCTCATGACCACCTGGGGGTTCCAAGTCCTGGATCATTCACTCTGTGTCCCAATGACAATGAGAAGAATGTCTGGACACTCTCACCTGTGATCACGATGTCCAGGGGGTCACTGGGAGCTGACAACTGATAGGGGGAGTGAGGAACAGAACCATAACATCTGTAGGTTCCTGCAAGGACAGGCATCAAGGGACCGATGGAGAAGTTGGCCTTGGAGACCCCATCATGGATCTGTCCAACGAGGCGTGAGGGGTCCTCAGAGATCCCCTCTCTGTGCAGAAAGAAGTGCTCAAACATGACATCTGACCAACATTGCAGGATGACTGTCTCTCCTGATTTCAGCAGGGGCCCTGGGTGGGCCAGGAGGGAAGGTTTTCTGTGGTTTCCTAGAAAGAGAAGTTGTGAGTTTAGAAGGCATCTCTCTTTATCATCCCATCCATGGCACCTGGAATGAGTGAGGGTTCCCCTCCCAGAGGTCTGTCTCTCTCCTCCCTCTCTGTGTCTCCGTGTCTTTTCTGTGCCCATATCCCCTGGTGCAGGTCCCTCCATTTGTCTTCCTCCCTCTTCTCTGTCCCTCTGTCTCCAGTAGCCCCTGACTCCCTTCCCACTGTGAAGAGAGCCTCATCTCTTGGGCTGTTGTATCTCTTTCCCACTAGTCTCTTTCCTGCTGTCTATGTGGGGGTGGAAGAGGACAGGCTGCATGTCCAGGCTCTCAGCAGCCTGAATCAATCTCTTTTGAACAAATTGGAGTCTCTGGCAGAGGTATCAACTCATCAGTAAGGCAGACATCAGTGTCCACACACCCTGTTCCTGATGGGGATTGGGAGCCTCTCCTGCCATGTCTGTGCCTTCTCCATGGCCCCAGCTTCCATAGGGTGGTCCCTGGTGCTGGTTCCAGGAGCATCAACCCCTTCCTATGTGGATGGAGCCTGGTGGTGGCATCAGCATCCCACCCTTGCTGATCCCACGGTAGCCAACCTTCTCCTTGTTTGGTTTCTTTAATTAATTGATTAATTAATTTATTTTTGAGACAGTCACTTTTTCACCCAGGCTGGAGTGCAGTGGTGTTGTCTTGGCTCACTGCAACCTCTGCCTCCCCGGTTCAAGTGATTCTCTTGCCTCAGCCTCCCCAGTCGTTGGATTACTCGTGCCCACCACCACACCTGGCTATCCTTGTTTGGTTTCCTAGCTTGTCCTTGACCTGGGTTCCTGTGTCGGTTTCCTGTTGCTGCTGCAGAAAATTATCACAAACATGGCAGCAGGAGAGAACACACTGACCCCTTCCACTTCTGGGGACAGAAATTGGATCCAGTTCTCCCTGTGCTGAAATCAAGGCATCTGCAGGGCTGCGTTCCCTCTGGAGACTCAGCGAATCAGTTCTCTTGACTTCTCCAGCCCTTAGAGGCCACCTGCATTCTGTGACTAGTGGCCTTCCTCCACCTTCAAAGCCCACAGTGGCTGATAGCGTCTCCCTCCCACTACACTGCTCTAATCCCCACTCCCCTCTTCCTCCACCTCTCACGCGGACCCTTGTGATTACACTGAGCCCAGCAGGACAGTCCAGGCTGTCTCCCCATCTCAAGGTCAACTCATCAACAACCTGAGCTCCACCTTCCCCTTCAGTCCCCTGCCCTATAACATAAATAGTCACAGGCTCCAGGGTTTACAATGTAGCCATCATTGGCGACAGTGATTCTTCCCACCACAGCGCCCATTTCCCCTGTATTCAATCCCCCTTGACCCCAAATACAGTTGGGGCCTGGGTGATGGGACCCTGATGGACACCCCCACCAGAAGCTCTGGGATTCAGGAGGTGGGACAGTGAGAAGCCCAGACAGAAAGCCTCTGACCTGTGACCATGATCACCAGGGGGTTGCTGGGTGCCGACCACCCAGTGAGGGAGTGTGGGCGTGAACCCCGACATCTGTAGGTCCCTGCATGTGCTGGGGTCACAGGGCCCATGATGAAGCTCTCCTGGAATATTCTGCCGTGGAAGATGGGAACGTGGCTTCTGTCTTCTTTGTACAGCATGAAATTGTTAAACCCACGACGATAGTGACACTGAAGAGCCACGTGTCCTCCTCGAGGCACCACAGTGCTGGGCCGGGCAGACAGGAAGGGTTTGTCCTGACCACCTGGGGGAGAAGGAGGCACTGCCTTAGAGAGGAGGATGTGGAGCCGCCCCTCCCTCCCTGTGCTCAGAAGATTCTCCCATTTCCACTTTCTAAGGCTCCTACCACACCTGGGTGCCCAGGGCTACAGGAAGGACCCACCCCACATAGACATGGCGTCTCCCTACAACAAGTGTCAGCTGAGAACTTTGAGCAAGTGCTGAATAAGTGACTCTTACTAGATTTTAATACTGCAAAATTACTCACATAAAACAACACAAAGTAGACACGGCATGGAGGGCATGTCCTATG
This sequence comes from Homo sapiens, assembly GCF_000001405.40. NCBI lineage: Eukaryota > Metazoa > Chordata > Mammalia > Primates > Hominidae > Homo > Homo sapiens. The sequence continues at coordinate 7,247 of NT_187668.1, forward strand.
TGAATGGAATATCAGCCAATTCATGAACTGAGCCCCCTCAGAGGATTTGGAATGTCAGGGCCATGGCTGTGGTTTCCCCCCTCTTCTGGTAGAAAGACCGCAGCCACACTGCAGTCCCTACCGTCACGGAAACGCTGGAGGGTGTCAGTTATACCTTTGTCCTCAGAGGACCTGCTGTTCCTAGCACTGCATCCCTCTCTTTCTCTGCTGCTGACACCACTTCCTCCCTGCACACCCCAGCTTGGAGCACCCCAGTCTCACCCCAGTCTTCACAGAGCTTGACTCAGGAAAGGGAAAGAAAGGCCGGGGAGGGCGAGGTCAGAAATGTGGGCCGAGTATCCAAGGGTCCCCTCTTCCTAGTTTATGAGAGACTCCCCGACAGGACTTCCCTCCTGTTTCAGAAAAATCCTCTTATGTGGGGAGATGACACCCTAAGGTTTGGGGAAGGACTCACCCATGAGTGGCCAGGCCCCCTGCAGCAAGAAGAACCCTGGAAAGAAAGATCATGATAGACGATCCAACTGCAGGCAAACCAGGGCACCCTGCTGCCCCCACTGCACTGTGTGTCTTGGCAGCCAGGCCCTTGCTGGGCTGAAGGTAAACTTAGCCTCCCTGCTACCTGCTGCCAAGAACAGGGCTCTCAGCTGTGGAGAGACCCAGGCTCCAGGCCCAGATCAACACTTCCTGGCCCAGATCTCCACTCCAGGCCCATATCTCCACTCCAGGCCCCTATCTCCACTCCAGGCCCATATCTCCACATCAGACCCATATCTCCACTCCAGGCCCATATCTCCACATCAGACCCATATCTCCACTCCAGGCCCAGATCTCCCCTCTAGGCCCATATCTCCACTCCAGGCCCATATCTCCACTCCAGGCCCATATCTCCACATCAGACCCATATCTCCACTCCAGGCCCATATCTCCACTCCAGGCCCAGATCTCCACCTGCAGGCCCATATCTCCACCCCAGGCCCATATCTCCACTCCAGGCCCGTATCTCCACTCCAGGCCCATATCTCCACACCCAGGCCCATATCTCCCCTCCAGGCCCATATCTCCACTCCAGGCCCATATTTACACCTCCAGGCCCATATCTCCACACCCAGGCCCATATCTCCACTCCAGGCCCATATCTCCACTCCAGGCCCATATCTTTACCTCTAGGCCGAGATCTCCATCCCCACTCTCCCTCCCTCTATTCCCTTCCAGGACTCACCAACGCACGCCATGCTGACGACAGTGAGCGACATGGTGCTGCCGGTGCAGACAGGAGGCCGCGCCCCAGCTCAGCTCAGCAGCGCACAGGATGTTATTTGGCGCCCTGCCCATGCAGTTTACATGTTGACCACATCATGGGAGGGTGACGTACGCAGGCTCTTTCTACCTTGCATGAGGCCCAGTGGGTGCTCGCTCAAGAGCGGAACATGGCTTCCTGGAAATTGTTGTGACTACAATTGCCACCTTGCATCCTTCACTATGACCAGACTCAAAAGACGTCTCAGATCCAACCTCTCACACATGAGGTGATTGAATTCTGTGCTTACATTAAAGACTTTTGATGTATTTTTGTTTTTATCTGAGATTCAAACTTTTCTTCATGTGTAATGTGCAAAATATCTAAGAGGTATTATTAACATTATCAGAGTAATTGTGACAAAAAGCCATTCTAATTTTCCTGATGAGTTTCTAGTACTAAACCTGAGGCACGAGAATTGCTTGAACCTGGGAGGCGGAGGCTGCAGTGAGCTGAGCTCAAGCCACTGAACTCCAGCTTGGGTGACCGAGGAAGAGTCTGTCTCAAGAAAGAAAAAAAAAAGCAAACTAAATAACCTATAATAACAAATCAGAGAACTCAGGTTACCAAATTTTAAGGGGTTCTATAAGTTTATATGAAATGCAGCATCCTCATGAGAGGGGATACAGAGAACCACTGGGCAGAAAACTGTGTCTAAAATACATCTGTGGATACACAGTCCCTTTATAGTTGACAAAGGCTGCCATGTAGTTTAAGGTGGAATAGAATATTTTCTCAATAAATAACACAGGACCATAGGGTTACACGTAGGAAAAAATAAATCTAAACTTATCCTCACACTATAAAAACACTTCTTATTTTTTATCTTGTTGTTGTAAACTTTTTATGCTTTATTTTTAAGATTGACAAATAAAAATTATATACTGTGGTCCTTCACTATTCCTGGGTGATTGGTTCCAGGATCCCCATTCAGATACCAAAATCTGCAGATGCTCAAGCCCCTTGCATGAAATGGCATAGCGAAGCTGGGCACCGTGGCTCACGCCTGTAATCCCAGCACTTTGGGAGGCTGAGTTGGGTAGATCACGAGGTCAGGAGTTCAAGACCAGCTGGTCCAACATTCTGAAACCCCATCTCTACTAAAAATACACACACAAAAAAATTTATCTGTGCATGGTGGCACGTGCCTGTAATCCTAGGGGAGGCTACTGGGGAGGCTGAGGGAAGACAATCGCTTGAACCTGGGAGGCGGAGGTTGCAGTGAGCTGAGATCATGCCACTGCACTCCAGCCTGGGTGAGAGAGTGAGACTGTCTCAAAAAAAAAAAATAGCATAGTAATTGCATAGAACCCATGCACATCCTCCTGTATACATGAAATCATCTCTTGATTACTTATAATTCCTGACACAGCCTACACGCCACTCAATTTGTGTCGATTCAACATAGTTTTTTGCTTCTTGAAACTTCGGGGATTTTTTTCTGAAAATATTTTTGATTTATTGTTGGTTCAATAAACACCTGTAAACCCCACAGATATGGAGGACCGACTGTATATTTATATTATGAAAGATGATATGTTGATATGTGTCCCCGTGGAGATGAGGCTAACAAGGCCTATGACTCTACAAATGTTTCATCGTGGAATGACTCTGCCAGCTTTCCAGGTCTGCAGAGAGTAAGAATATCACTTGTTCATGTGATTCACGATCCTTGGAGCCTCCTATGTGCTGTATCTTTGGATGGAAATTGGAGTCTCAGAGACAAATCAGGCTCCATTCTGCTTCCAGAAGCTCAGAGTCCAGGGCTGAGAACCCAATGGAGAACAGATGGGGTTATGTGGACACGGTAATGATAACACCGGAAGCCTTAGGCAAGAAAAGAGTCTCGTTACCGAAACCATGAGGGCAGACATGTTTATTTGAAGGCGGGAAAACTACATTGAAATTATTTAAAAAATTTATAAGTTTTACTGCTGGCAGAAGGCTGAAAGATAGTCTGAAGGGAGGTGGAACAGCACGTGTCTAAGTGCTGTGTTAAGAGGCAGCCTCTTGTATGTTTGGAATTGTGAGTTCCTCAGTGTGATTGCAGCCTCAGGTAGACTAGGAAGTAAGCCAGTTAGGTTGGAGAGGTGGGCAGGGGTCAAGTGAAATGGAGAATTGTGGGCTAAGCAAAGGAGTGTGTTTTCTCTCCAGCAGGCAGTGGGGACCTTAGACATTTGTAAGCAAGAGAGAGGCATGTTCAGATTCGTGGTGTGAGGAAGAGCGATGCCCTAAGATGAAGACTGATGCCTTCAGATTCCAGCTGCTGGTACATGGGAGCTGGCAACCCGGTTTTGAGACAGGGCTGTTGTCTCCCTAGAAGATCCCCTCAAGGCCTGACTGTGGTGCTCGTGGACAGAAGACAACTTTGGATCTGGGCTCAGCATTTGGAAGTTCTATGTACATGCTGGTATCTGTTGGGGGTGTCTTGGGCCTCTCAGAAGGGCGAGTGATTTTTCTCTGTGTGAAAACACAGTGATCCAATTATGCGTATGACACCTCCTGATGGTCTTGTTCATCAGAATCCTGGAGAGAGGGAAATGCTGAGTGAGGGAGGGTGCTCACATTTTTCAGGACTCTTTGGGAATAAGACTAGCCACGAGGCTGGGCCGAGGAGCACCTACCTCGCTGTTCACTGTTCTGTTCCCTGCAGGCTCTTGGTCCATTACAGCAGCATCTGTAGAAGACGGAAGTCAACAAAAGAGCTCGGAGGGCACTTCTGGGTCCTCATTTCATAAGCAGATACCAACAAACAGGGGGAGGCCATAGGTGCCTGAGGTCCCTCAGTTGCCAACAGCAGACTCAGACATTCTATCTCTCTGAGTTCAAGGACCCATCCCATGAATAGCTCTGAGGTCCCATCCCATTGATTCTATCTCCCACTTTCTGCCTGTCATGGAACCTTCTCCTGGATGTGAGTGGCTGCAGGGGACGTGAGGATACAGTTCAGAATCAGGCAATGGTCTGTGAGCTGAAGGCAGGGGAAGGGAATCTGGTGCTCTCTCTAGAAAGTCCTGCCTCTGTGGCTCCTGTCTTGGGCCAGGGACCATCCTGCTGGTGAGGAACACACATCCGCGTGCTCCCATCCTGCTTCCCCACATGGCCCTGAGCTCTCTGGCCTCTGCTTCGTGAGACTTACTTTTTTTGTCGGAGCACCAGCGATGAAGGAGAAAGAAGAGGAGGATGGTGAAAGGGATTTTGACCACTGAGGTCCCAATCAGAACATGTAGGTGTCTGGGGTTACCTGGAAGAAGAGGAGACACCAATAAGAAGCTAATCATAGCAGTTCCTCTTTATGAATTGTCTCGCATTTCTTGATTGGCAGGTAACCACATACAACGTCTCTTTAGGACAAGCACCCAAATGGCGGGAGACCTAGCTTTCCCCTGCTTTCTCAATTATAGCTCTCATAGTAACCATAGAACGTGCTGAGGATACAACTACTTTAGTTGAGATGTTTGACCCTTTCAAACCTCACATTGAAATTTCACCCCCATTGTGGGAGGTTGGGCCTCTTCAGAGGTGTTTGGGTCATGGAGGTGGATCCATCATGAACAGACCAATGCTGTCCCAAGGAGACGGGGTTAGCAAGTTCCCCCTCTGTTAGTTCCTGGAGAGCTGGTTGTTAAAAAGAGCTTGGAAGCTCCATCGCTCCCTCTCCCCCTTACTCTCTCTCTTGCCGTGTGATCTCTGCGGTCTCTGCACAGACAGACCCTCCTTCCCTTCTGCCAGAGTGGGAGCAGCCTGAGGCCATCACGAGAAATAGATTCTGGTGCCATGCTTCCAGTACAGCCTGCAGAACTGTGAGGCAAACCAATCTCTTTTCTTTAGAAGTTACCCAGGCTCAAGTGTTCCTTTAGAGCAACAAAAATGGACTAAGATAGCAACATCCTGAGATCAGGAGGAATGTCTCAGAACAGCCTGGGCTGTCTTCCTGTTCTTCCTGGAGGAGGACGTCATGCAGTGCTTTAGCTGAGTGCTTCCTGTGGCTCCAGGGTACAAAACCCAGGCTGGGCTGCTTTCTGGCTTCCCCCAGTTACACTGCAAATGGGGTGACTCCATATGTCCCGAGCAGCTTTTCTGAGCCTTGAGGGACTGGCTCACATTGAAATGCAGGCTTCTGTTGTCACTCACTGCTTATCTGTTAGTAATGAACCTGCCTATGTAACGTATTCTCTGTGTGTTCTGTCTCCCTGGAGTGACGGTGAGTGATAGGAATTGGCATAGGCCCAGGTGCAGTCCAGGATTTGTTTAGAGTCTTCTCTGGGAAGACTGCACTGGGATTGATACACAGCGAATGTGCTTTAGGATTTCTACATCCACAGCATTCTTGAGTCAAACAAATTGCATTCACCAAGGAAAGGAAACAAAGGTGAAATCACGATTAAAAATAGCGAAGCAAGATTCTCTTATGTCAAACAGCCAGAAAATAGTGTTGAAGCCCGTGTGAAATGTGCTGCTCTTTGTGATCTCGGGAGACACATGTTAGGCTGCTGTTCTACCCGAGAGGCTGGGGGAAGGACCACCCCCTCCACCATCTATTGCTTCAATACCACCTGTCCTCCTGTGAATTAGTAGGAAAGGGGAACAGGAGCTAGTGCTGTCGCTGATCTCTGATTCCAAGATCTGGACTCACTCCAAGGAGTATTAATGTTTCCTCCCCATGGTCTATCTGAATCTCCACAGGTGATTGGAAGTAGGGGTGAGGTGGGGGATTTGGGTGAGTGGGCAAGTTTTTTTTTGCGATGACCAGAGCACTTTCTCTATTCCAGGATCCGTGCTGGAGGATTCAGCGGGCTTTCACATTTTCTATGTGATCTCATGCTCACAGAAAGCCAAATAGGGAAGAGGTTTTAGGCTCATTGCCTAATGGATAAGATAAAGGATCAAAGAAGTAATTATAGAGAAATAGAAAAATGATGATTGGAATTCAGGTGCCTTTGTCATTCGTGTGTGTTTTATTATATTTATGCATTTCTTATTTTTATTTTTTGAGACGGAGTCTCCTTGTGTCACCCAGGCTGGAGTGCAGTGATGCAATCTCCACTCACTGCAACCTCCACCTCCTGGGTTGAAGTCATTCTCCTGCTTCATCCTCCAGAGTAGGAGCTGGGATTACAGGGATGCACCACCATGCTCGGCTAATTTTTGTATTTTTAGTAGAGACAGGGTTTCACCATGTTGGCCAGGCTGGTCTGGAACTCCTGACTTCATGGAATCCACCCGCCTTGGCCTCCTGCAGTGCTGGGTTACAGGCGTGAGCCACCGTTCACAGACTTGTATATTATGCTATAATAGGTCCCTTCATTTCCACCACCCCTCATATATCTGTCACTCCTTTGCCAGGTATTGATTTATGTGTAGGATGAATAAATCTCAGAAAGAAATTAATTAAGCGAGGATTAAACAAGTAGGAAAATCAAACCCAGCAAGCCTTTCCAGCCAATGATTCTACCTCACAAACATAGCTTATATCCATCTGCTTCATCCACTTAGTGTCAAAATCAGCACCACATTTCACCAGTGGGGTGGCAATTGCCTTTTCCACAGTCTCCTAGATTCCAGTTACGCACCTGGGCCTCCCTTATTTTCATGTCAGTCACTATTAATCATGTAGGGATTCCTGGTTACCTCGAGGTGAATCCAACGGCTGTGAGTGTCAAACACACACTCCTTGTTGCTCCTTAGTTTCCTGTGTACCCAGTGTGCTCTCCGTCTCTCTACAGTTGTCTTGTCATTCTCCCCATCTCATTCCCAGCATTTCAGGCAGAGCCTCTTCCTTCCACATCAGATTGTTTTCAGCTTTCTGCCTTCACGGCTGACAGCTGTGTGTGGAAAATCCTTCCGCCAATCTTTCAGGGGTTCAATCCGTGTTTTTCATTAATGTCACAAATATCTGATTAGTGAGACCTTCTCTGTCACCCAAAATTATACACTCAGCATTATCTATTATTGATTTTGAATTCTGGCTGGGCACAGTGGCTCACGTCTTTTATCCCAGTACTTTGGGATGCTGAGATGGTTGGATCACTTGAGGTTGGGAGTTTCAGACAAGCTTGGCCAACATGGTGAAACATCCTCTCTACAAAAAATATACAAAAAGAATTAGCCGGGCATGGTGGCAGTTGCCTGTAATCCCAGCTACTCGAGAGGGTGAGGCAGGAGAATCACTTGGATCCAGGAGACGCAGGTTGCAGTGAGCCAAGATCGTGACACTGCACTGTAGCCTGGAAGACAGAGGGAGACTCTGTCTCAATAAACAAACGAACAAACAAACAAATAGATTTCATGCACAGATGCTTCCCAATGGATCATTCATTTATTGGTCCACTTGTGCATTCATTTTCTGTCCTCCCATTTAACCATCTGCAATATCAGTGTCCCAAGAGCAGAGGCCAAATGCATCTTGTTCACCATTTGTGGAAGGCAGGAGAATGCTGTCCCACCCCAAAATGTCCCTGTCCTAGCCTCCATAGCTTGTGAATATGTTATTTTACATGGAAAGGAGGAATGAAGATTGCAGATGGAATTATGGTTGCTAATCAGCTGAACTTAAAACAAGGGTATCCTGAATGATTTCCGGGAGATTATGACGGATTTTCATCTTGGTGAACCCAATAGAATCCCCAAGTTTTCAAAAGATGAGGAAGAAGGGAGAGCAGCATTCAGAGAAAGAGGTGTGGTAAGGAAGAAGGGTCTGAGTGATGCCATGTGAGATGTGACCAGTCTTTGTGGGTTTTGAGGAAGGAGGAAGGGGACCAGCAGCCAAGGAACTGGGAGCCTTTATAAGATGGGACAAGTGAGAAGCAGATTCTTGCCTGGAATCCTCAGAGGGAAGGCAGGCTTGCTGTCATCTTGATTTTAGCCCAGTGAGATGCACTTCATGCTTTGAGCTAGAGCACTGTAAGATAATTAAATAACCGTTTTGTTTTCACCCACGAATCTTGTGGAAATTTGTTATGGCAACAATAGGAAAAGCTTCCACACTGCACAACCTGAGCATGGGGCCGTGGCTGAATAAGTCAGTGAGTCAAAGTGTGCGTGCATGAGCTCTGTTCTCTGTTACGGCAAGGCTCTTGCTCTGCTGAGTCAGCCAGGGTTGTTTCATGACCAACAGGAGCTCATTCCTTGGCAAGTGGAACTTCTCTAAAACACCTCGCCCTCATCAGATGTTCGCTTCCCTTCCCTCTCTCAAGCCCCCAGGAATTTATCCTCCAGTTAGGAATGCAAGCAGAACAAACATTGCATTTTTCCTGAGAAGGATGTCAGATTGGCAATCATTCTTCTAGCTTGTAGGAGGTCTCAGCTCCATAAAATGAGAGATGAAGAGATTTCACTGAGCCCTGTGTTGGGCCCAGATCCCTTTCGCTGTTGGAGTATCTGGAGTTCGGAGATGGTAGAAGACAGGCGTACAATGTCAGAGCTGTGAGATGCTGAGTCAACGCCTGAATCCAAGGTTTCCACCTCCCCAGGGTTCCAAAAGCGGATATAAGAGGGTCCTGTACTCACCGGTTTTGGAGCTTGGTTCAGTGGGTGAAGGCCAACTATTTGAAGGGTTTCCTAGAACATGAGACAGGAGAGAGGTGAGGAAATGAGGGTGTCTGTCCTCTACTCAGTGGAAATCTTTGAGTTTGGTTCATGGCCAACACTCTGTTATCTAACATTGGGCCCTGGGAGTCCAGGGATCCTTTCTTCCATAATTTTTGTATGTGACGCCCACTGTCTTGAGACTTCAAGGTATAAAGAGAAAACAGGAGCATCACACTACCTGATCTCAAAATATGTTACAGAGCTGTAGTAAGCAAAACAGCATGATGTTGGCATGAAGAAAGGCACATAGAACAACGGAGCAGAATGAAGAACACAGATATAATCCATGCATTTACATCCAATTTTTTTTATTTTTTCTTTTGAGATGGAGTCTCGCTCTGTCACCCAGGCTGGAGTGCAGAGGTGCAATCTCGGTTCACTGCAACCTCAGCCTCCTGGGTTCAATCAATTCTCTTGCCTCAAACTCCTGAGTAGTAGTATTACAGGTGCTGACCACCATGCTCAGCTAATTTTTATATTTTTAGTGGAGACGATGTTTCATCACGTCGGCCAGAGTAATCTTGTACTCCTGTCCTCAGGTGATCCACCAGCCTTGGCCTCCCAAAGTGCTGAAGTTGCTGGTGTTAGCCACCATGCCCAGCCCATCCAATGGACTTTGACAAAGGTGCCAAGAACTCACAATCAGGAAAGGACAGTTTTTTCAATAAACAGTGCAGGGAAACCTGGACATCTACATGCAGAGGAATGAAACTGCACCTCTACCTGTCACCATACACAAAAATCAAATGAAAGTGGATTAAAGATGTGAGTCTAAGGCCTGAACCTGTGAAACACGTAGAAGAAAATATTGGGGAAATGCTCCAGGACATTTGTCTGAAGGAAGACATTTTGTTTTAAACCTTCAAAACACAAGTAATCGAAGCAAAAATAGACCATTGGGATTACCTCAAACTAAGCAACTTCTGCACCGCTAAAAATAAACCAACAAAGTGAAGAGACAACCCACAGATTGGGAGCAAATATGTGCAAACTATGCATCTGAGACGGGATTAATAACTAGAAGTATAAGAAGCTCAAACAACTCAATAAAACAAATGATTTAATTGAAAAAGGAGCAAAAGACATGAAATTTCCCCACATACGAAAAAGTGCTCAGTATCACTCATCATCAGAGAAACGCGAATTAAAATCAAAGTGAGTTTTCATCTCACCCCATTAAAATGGCTTTTAGGCCGGGCGAGGTGGCTCACGTCTGTCATCCTAGAACTCTGAGAGCCCGAGGTGGGCGAATCTCATAAGGTCGGGAGTTTGAGACCAGTCTGACCCACATGGAGAAACGCTGTCTCTACTAAAAATACAAAAATTAGTCGGGCGTGGTGGCGTGTGCCTGTAATTCCAGCTACTCGGGAGGCTGAGGCAGGAGAATCGCTTGAACCTGGGAGGTGGAGGTTGCGGTGAGCCGAGATCGCACCACTGCACTCCAGCCTGGGTGAGAAGAGCGAAACTCCATCTCAAAATAAAATGAAATAAAATAAAATGGCTTTTAGCTGCAAGACAGGCAAAAGAAATGCTGGCAAGGTGGTAGAGAAAGGAGAACCCTGGTACCCTGTTGGTAGGAGTGTAAATTAGTACAGCCATTACGGAGAAAAGTATGGAAGTCCTTTAAAGAACTAAAAAGAGGTTGGATGAAGTGGATCATGCCTGTAATCCCGGCACTTTGGGAGACCGAGGCGGGCACCTCAGTTGAGGTCATGAGTTTGAGAGCAGCCTAGCCAACCTGGGGAAACCCCATGTACACTAAAAAAAACCAAAAAGTATCCCGGCATGGTGGCGTGCACCTGTAATCCCAGCTACTAGGGAGGCTGAGGCAGGAAAATCATTTGAACCCAGGAAGCGGAGGTTGCAATGAGCCAAGATCACATCACTTGTACTCCAGCCTGGGCACAGAGGGAAACTGTCTCAAAAACAAAAACAAAACAACAAACGAAAAACTAAAAAGAGAACTTTCATAGTATCCAGCAATTTCACTACTGGGTTTATATCCAAAGGAAAGTAAATCAATGTATCGAAGTGATATCTGCACTCGTATGATTGGTGCAGCACTCTTCACAGTAGCCAAGATGTGGAGTCAACCTACCTGCCCATCAGTGGATGAATGGATAGAGAGAATGTAGTACATACGCACAGCGGAGACTACTCATCCATAGAAAGAATAACATCCTGATATTTGCAGCCACATGGATGGAACTGGAAGTCATTACAAAGATTCCCATTTCTCACCCATATACAGGAGCTAAAAGGTGGATCTCATGAAGATAGAGAGTAGAATGGTGGCTACCAGAGGCCAGGAAGAAAAGGGTGGAGGATAAAACAAACAAACAAAAAATTTATATGTATGTATTTATGACCACTAGACCTTACACTTAAAATTGGTAAACGTGGCCGGGCGCGGTGGCTCATGCCTGTAATCCCAGCACTTTGGGAGCCTGAGGCGGGTGGATCACGTGGTCAGGAGTTCCAGAGCAGCTCGACCAACATGGTGAAACCCCCTCTCTACTAAAAATACAAAAAGTAGCCTGGCGTGGTGATGGGCGCCTGTAGTACCAGCTACTCAGGTGGCTGAGGCAGGAGAATCGCTTGAACCCAGGAGGCGGAGGTTACAGTGAGCTGAGATTGTGCCACTGCATTCCAGCATAGGAGACAGAGCTAGACTCCACCTCAAAAAAAAAAAATGTTAAAAGTGGTAAGCTATATAGGTATATTTAACCTCAATGAATATTTTTTCAAACAAAAAGAAAAGGATGTAGGGGTTGCTGGTGATGACATCTCTGTGTGGGTGAGAGGCCAGGAAGGGCTTCTGGGAAATGGGTAAGGTTGAGGGGCTGAGGGAACCTCTGATCTCCCCAAACTGAGCCCAGTCTCCCCTGCTCTGGGTCTCTCCTGACCGCTTTCTACATCTGCCTGGGTGCCTGGAGCCCTAATCGGAGGCCTCCATGCAGGCCATGCAGGAGGGTTTGGAGGTGCTGTGTGTGCCATCCTGCGCCCTGATCCCTCCCTCACAGGCATGCTGCGTCTTCTCTCTGCATCTGTCCATGCTTCTCTCCATCATCAGCAGGAAGCTCCTCAGCTAAGGCTCTAGGATCATAGGACATGGGACAGATATGGGGTTTCCTCACCTGTGACGGAAACAAGCAGTGGATCACTCGAGTTTGACCACTCGTAGGGAGCGTCACGGAAAGAGCCGAAGCATCTGTAGGTCCCTCCGTGGGTGGCAGGGCCCAGAGGAAAGTCGGCCTGGAATGTTCCGTTGATGCTGCGCACTGCAGGGAGCCTACGTTCATGGGCCTCCCCTTCCCTGGATAGATGGAGCTGCAGGACAAGGTCACATTCTCTCCTGCCTGAACCGTGGGGCCCGGCTGGGCTGAGAGAGAAGGTTTCTCATATAGACCTGGAAGGAGAAGGGGCAGTTTCCTCAGGGGGGATCTTCCTTGTCACAGCTCCCCTCACACCTGACCTGAGAACTCACTCCCCTGCTCTATGGCCTAATGCTCTCTTTCTCTGTCTCACCCTCCACCCCATCTCTCTTCATGTCTATTTCCTCCTTCCACCTTCTCTGTCTCTGTAGGTCTCTGACCTCACTTCCCTACCTCTAGTTATGTTTTCCGTTTTTGGATTGTTTTATTCTCTCTGGCTCTCCTTGGATTGGTTGACTTGATGTTACTTTTTTTAACTCTGAGTTTCTCAGTTTGTGTCCCGTTCATAACTTTCTGCATATTTCTATCTATTATCTATCAATCCATCTATTTATCTATTCGGTGCCTATCTACAAATTCTCTACCTGTCATCTATATCTATATATCATCTATTTATCTATCAATTGTCTATCCGTCAATCATCTATTATCTATATATATGTATCATCTCTCTCTCTCTATTATTTCTCTCTTTGTCTTCCTCTCTATCTCTATGTATTATCTATCCATCTACCTTCATCATCATCATCTCTATGTATCATCTATTAATGAATCAATCAATCATCATCTATGTATCTATAACCTATTATCTATCATCTACCTATATATCATCTATCTATATCTATCCATCATCTATCTGTATCTATCCATCTATCATCTGTCTTGCTCTGCCTCTCGGTCTCTCTAGTTCTCTTTGGAATCTCTGCAATTCATCCCCACATCTCCATCTTTCTATGCCCTTGTGCCTCGCCCTCAGGACTCTAATTTTAGTGGTTTTCTCTGCTCTCTTCCATCATTCTCTCCACTTCTCTGCCCTCTTCTCTCTCTTTATGTGTCTGTGAGTCTCTCAATCTCCTTCCTCTGGCTCTTTCTCTGTGTGTTTATGTCTTTGCTTTTTGGTGTCCCTGATTTCTCTCTGTGCTTCTCAGTGATCCTCTCATATGTGATATGTGGGGTTATTTGGAATGTGAGCCTCAGAATCCAGTCTGGAGACCACAAGTTCACACAGCATACAGGGGTTGGTGTTCTGGGGCCATGATATTTTGGGACGATTATTCTCCATTGCATGGAAGTCAGAGGTGTCAGAATAAGCATGGCATCTGTAGGTGCCACAAGGCCTGAGGCCACAGGGCCCAACTCAGGTCAGAAATATGGGTGTCCTTGGGTTCTCCTGGTAGAGAACACTTTGTGGAGGTAAAACAGAAATGAAACTTCTAACCTGTGCCAGGTCTCTGAGCAAAGTCAGCATGGAAGGACACCTCTGTCTGGGACATGTCTGTCTGTCTCCTTTAACTCTTTCTGTCTTTTCTAACTCCCTGTATGGCCCCTGTGTTTGTCCTCTGTTATGACACCTGGTCTGTACTTGTGTCTCTTGTTTCTCTGTCTCTGTTGGCACAGACCTCACCAAGTCAGTCTCTCTCCATAAGAATACCAAGCTCATCTTCCTTACAACCACCTGGGTCTCCAAGTCCTGGATCATTCACTCTGCATCCCAATGACAATGAGAAGAATGTCTGGACACTCTCACCTATGATCACCATGTCCAGAGGGTCACTGGGAGCTGACAACTGATAGGGGGAGTGAGTAACAGAACCGTAGCATCTGTAGGTTCCTGCAAGGACAGGCATCATGGGACCAATGGAGAAGTTGGCCTTGGAAACCCCATCATGGTGCTCTCCAATGAGGTGCAAAGTGTTGTTAAACTTCCCCTCTCTGTGCAGAAGGAAGTGCTCAAACATGACATCCGACCAACATTGCAGGATGACTGTCTCTTCTGATTTCACCAGGTGACCTGGGAGGGCCAGGAAGGAAGGTTTTCTGTGGACTTCTAGGAAGAGAGGTTGTGAGTTTAGAAGGTGTCTCTCTTTATCATCCCATCCATGGCACCTGGAATGAGTGAGCCTTCCCTTCGCTGGTGTCTGTCTCTCTGCTTCCTCTCTGTGTCTTCATGTTCTTTTCTGTGCCCATAACTCCTGGTGCAGGTCCTTCCATCTGTCTCCCTCCCTCTTCTCTGTCCCTCTGTCTCTAGTAGCTGTGATTCCCTTCCCACTGGGCTCAGCCTCATCTCTTGGGCTGTTGTATCTATTTCACACTAATGTCTTTCTTACTGTCTATGTGGGAGTGGAAGAGGAAGCAGGATAGGCTGCACGTCCCGGCTCTTAGCAGCCTGGTTCAATCTCTTTTGGACGAATTGGAATCCTTGGCAGGAGGTATGAACTGATCAGTAAGGCAGGCACCAGTGTCCACACACCCTGTTCCTGGTGGGGACTGGGAGCCACTCTTGCCATGTCTGTGCCTTCTCCATGGTGCCAGTTTCCATAGGCTGGCTCCTCGTGCTGATTTGAGGAGTATCAACCCCTCCCTATGTGGATGGAGCCTGGTGGTAGCATCATCATCCCACCCTTGCTGATCTCGGTGTAGCCAACCTTCTCTTTGTTTGGTTTCTTTAATTAATTAATTAATTTTGGAGACAGAGTCTCACTCCTTCGCCCAGGCTGGAGTGAAGTGGTGTGGTCTACGCTCACTGCAACCTCTGTCTCCTGGGTTCAAGCGATTCTCCTGCTCTCAGCCTCCCGAGTCGCTAGGATTACATGCACCTGCCACCATGCCTGGCTATCCTTGTGTCTTTTCTTAACTTGTCCTTGACCTGGGTTCCAGTGTTGGTTTCCTGTTGCTGCTGTAGAAAATTATCAGAAGCATGGCAGCAGGAGAGAGCACACTGACCCCCTCCGATTCTGGAGACAGAAAGCGGACGCTGTTTTTCGAGGGCTAAAATCAAGGCATCTGCAGGGCTGTGTTCCCTCTGGAGACTCAGGAGAATCAGTTACTTGACTTTCCCAGCCTCTATAGGCCACCTGCATTCATGGCTTATGGCCTTCATCCACCTTCAAAGCTGATGGAGTCTCCCACTACGCTGCTCTAATCCCCACTCTCCTCTTCCTCCTCCTTTCATGTGGACCCTTGTGATTATACTGAGCCCACCGGGACAGTCCAGGCTGTCTCCCCATCTCAAGGTCAACTCATCAACAACCTGAGCTCCATCTTCCCCTTCAGTCCCTTCCCCTATAACATAAATAGTCACAGACTCCAGGGATTAGAATGCAGTCATCATTGGGGACACTTATTCTTCCCACCACAGCACCCATTTCCCTGTATTCAATCCCCCTTTACCCCAAATACAGTTAGGGCCTGCGTGATGGGACCCTCAAGGACATGCCTACCAGAAGCTCTGGGATTCAGGAGGTGGGACAAGGAGAATCCCAGACAGGAGCCCTCTGACCTGTGACCATAATCACCAGGGGGTTGCTGGGTGCCGACCACCCACTGGGGGAGTGTGTGTGTGAACCCCGGCATCTATAGGTCCCTGCATGTGACGGGGTCACAGGGCCCATGAAAAGGCTTTTCCAGAATATTCTGTTGTACAGCTCAGGGACAGGCACCCCATCATCCTTGTACAGACTGAAGTTGTTAAACCCAAGATTAGAGTGACACTGAAGAGTCACATGTTCTGGAGGCACCACAAGGCTGGGCCAGGTAGAAAGCAAGGGCTTGTCCTGACCACCTTGGGGTGAAGGAGGCGCCGCCTTAGAGAGGAGGATGTGGAGCTGTGCCTCCCTCCCTGTGCTCAGAAGATTCTCCCCACTTTCCACATTTCTATGGCTGCTATCACACCTTGGTGCCTAGGGCTAAAGGAAGGACCCATCCCACAAAGACAAGGTGTCTCCGTACAACAAAAGTGTCAGCTGAGAACTTTGAGCAAGTGCTGAGTAAGAGACTCCTACTAGATTTTAATACTGTAAGATTACTCACATAAAACAACACAGGGTAGACATGAAGTGGAGGGCATGTCCTTTGAGAATGGAATATCAGCAGTTGCCTGAATGAAAATAAAAAACTTAGCCCCCATCAGAGGATTTGGAATGTCAGGGCCATGGCTGTGGTTTCCCACCTCTTCTGGTAGAATGACAGCAGCCACACTGCAGCCCCTACCATCATGGAAACGCTGAAGTGTGTGAGTAACACCTTTGTCCTCAGAGGATCTGCTGTTCCTACCACTTCCCCACCACACAACCCAGCTTTGAACACCCTAGTCCAACCCTGGTCCCCACACAACTTGACTCTGCCAAGGGGTTGAGAGGCCAGGGAGGCAAGGTCGGAACTGTGGGCCGAGCACCCCAGGGTCCCCTCTTCCTAGTTTATAAGAGACTCCCTGACAGGACTTCCCTCCCGTTTCAGGAAAATCCTCTTATGTGGGGAGATGACACCCTAAGGTTTGGAGAAGGACTTACCCTCCTGTGGCCAGGCCCCCTGCAGCAAGAAGAACCCTGGAAAGAAAGATCATGATGGAAGATCCATTTGCAGGCAAACAAGGCCTTCCTTGCTGCCCCCACTGGGCTGTGAGTCTTGATAGCCAGCCCCTTCCTGGGCCGAAGGGAAACTCACCATCAGTGCCTACCTGCACCCAAGAACAGTGCTCTCGGCTGTGCAGAGACCCAGCCTCCAGGCCCATATCCCCACCCCAAGCCCATATCTCCACTCCAGGCCCATATCTCCACTCCAGGCCGATATTTCCACCCTAGACCCATATAGCCAATCCGGGCCCACATCTCCAATCCAGGCTCAGATCTCCACCCTAGGCCCATATCTCCAATCCAGGCCCATATCTCCACTCCAGGCCCATATCTCCTCTCCAGTCCCATATCTCCACTCCAGGCCCATATCTCCACCCCAGGCCCAGATCTCCACCTCCAGGCCCATAACTACACTCCAGGATCATATCTCCACTCCAAGCCCATATCTCCACATCAGGCCCATATCTCCACTCCAGTCCCATATCTCCACACCCAGGCCCATATCTCCATTCCAGGCCCATATCCCCATCCTAGGCCCATATCTTCACCGTAGGCCCAGATCTCCACTCCAGGCCCATATCTCCACTCCAGGGCCATATCTCCACTCCAGGCCCATATCTACACACCAGGCCCATATCTCCACCCCATGCCCATGTCTCCACTCCAGACCCATATCTCCACCCCATGCCCATATCTCCACTCCAGGCCCATATCTCCAACCCACGCCCATATCTCCACCTCCAGGCACATATCTCCACCCCATGCCCGTATCTCCACTCCAGTCCCATATCTCCACTCCCGGCCCATGTCTCCACCCCATGCCTATATCTCCACTCCAGTCCCATATCTCCACTCCAGGCCCATATCTCCACTCCAGAACCATATCTCCACTCGGCCCATATCTACACTCCAGGCCCATATCACCACCTCCAGGCCCATATCTCCACTCCAGGCCCATATCTCCACCTCCAGGCCCATATCTCCACTCCAGACCCATATCTCCACTCCAGGCCCATATCTCCACTCCAGGCCCATATCTCCACTCCAGGGCCATATCTCCACTCCAGGCTCATATCTCCACTCCAGGCCCATATCTCCACTCCAGGGCCATATCTCCACTCCAGGCTCATATCTCCACTCCAGGCCCATATCTCCACTCCAGGGCCATATCTCCACTCCAGGCCCAGATCTCCACCTCCAGGCCCGTATCTCCACTCTAGTCCCATATCTCCACTCCAGGCCCATATCTCCACCTCCAGGCCCATAACTTCACTCCAGGCCCATAACTCCACTCCAGGCCCATATCTCCACCTCCAGGCCCATATCTCCACTCCAGGGCCATATCTCCACTCCAGGCTCATATCTCCACTCCAGGCCCATATCTCCACTCCAGGGCCATATCTCCACTCCAGGCCCAGATCTCCACCTCCAGGCCCCTATCTCCACTCTAGTCCCATATCTCCACTCCAGGCCCATATCTCCACCTCCAGGCCCATAACTTCACTCCAGGCCCATAACTCCACTCCAGGCCCATATCTCCACCTCCAGGCCCATATCTCCACTGCAGACCCATATCTCCACTCCAGGCCCATATCTCCACTCCAGGCCCAGATCTCCACTCCAGGCCCAGATCTCCACTCCAGGCCCAGATCTCCACCTCCAGGCCCCTATCTCCACTCTAGTCCCATATCTCCACTCCAGGCCCATATCTCCACCTCCAGGCCCATAACTTCACTCCAGGCCCATAACTCCACTGCAGACCCATATCTCCACTCCAGGCCCATATCTCCACTCCAGGACCATATCTCCACTCCAGGCTCATATCTCCACTCCAGGCCCATATCTCCACCTCCAGGCCCATAACTTCACTCCAGGCCCATAACTCCACTCCAGGCCCATATCTCCACTCCAGTCCCATATCTCCACTCCAGTCCCATATCTCCACCCTAGGCTCCTACCTCCCCTCCAGGTTCCTATCTCTCCTCCAGGTTCCTCTCTCCACTCCAGGTTCCTATCCCCACTCCAGGCCCATATCTCCACTCCAGGCCCAGATCTTCACTCCAGGCCCAGATCTCCACTCCAGGCGCAGATCTCCACTTCTAGGCCCATCACTCCATCTCTAGGCCCAGATCTCCACTCCAGGCCCAGATCTCCACTCCAGGCCCATAACTCCACCTCCAGGCCCATATCTCCACCTCTGGGCCCAGATCTCCATCCCCACGCTCCCTCCCTCTATTCCCTTCCAGGACTCACCAACACACGCCATGATGATGACCATGAGCGACATGGTGCTGCCGGTGCAGACAGGCGGCCGCGCCCCAGCTCAGCTCAGCAGCGCACAGGATGTTATTTGGCGCCCTGCCCATGCAGTTTACATGTTGACCACATCATGGGAGGGTGACGTACGCAGGCTTTTTCTACCTTGCATGAGGCCCAGTGGGTGCTCGCTCAAGAGCGGAACATGGCTTCCTGGAAATTGCTCTCACTAGAATTGACACCTCGCGTCCTTCACTATGACCAACTCAAAACACGTCTTAGATCCAACCTCCCAAACATGAGATGCCTAAAATCTGTGCTAACATGAAAGACTTTTCATGAATTTTTATTGTTTTTATCTGAGATTCGAACTCTTCTTCCTGTGTAATATGCAAAATATCTAATAGGTATTATTAGTGTTTTCAGAGTCATTGTGACTAATAAACCATTAGAATTGTTCATGCTTGTATTTCTAGTATTACAGCAGAACCAGTTCAAATGATTTAAATTCCCAGGGAAGGATTATGCAATTATTTACAATCTTAGAATTGTACTTTATCAGCAAAAACCACACATGTAAATTCTGGATTTTTGTAGTTTTATCTATAATTTGTCTCATGACTCAAGATTCCAGAGTCCCAACTTTGGAGTTTGCTCTCTCTCTGTCTCTCTGCCTCCCTCATTTTAAATTTTACAGAAATATCCAGTAACATAATGCTATAGAAAATCAAGTTTCCCCCAGCAGGTCGGGAAGCCGAGGTGGGCGGATCAACTGAGATGAGGAGATTGAGAGCAGCCTGGCCAACACAGTGAAACCGCGTCTCTGCTAAAAATTCAAAAATTAGCCATGCCTGGTGGCAGGCACCTGAAACGCCAGCTACTCAAGAGACTGAGGCACGAGAATCGCCTGAACCTGGGAGGCGGAAGTTGCAGTGAGCTGAGATTGTGTCACTGCAGTCCAGCCTGGGCGACAGAGCAAGACTCCGCCTCAAGAAAAAAAAATAGCAAGTAGCCTATAATAACAAATTAGAGGGCTCTGGCTACTAAATTTAAAGGGTTTTATAAGGCTACATGAAGTGCAGCATCCTCAAGAGTGTGGACACAGAGAGCCCCTTAGCAGAAACAGTGTCTAAAATACATCCGTGTACACACAGTCCCTTTAGAGTTGACAAAGGCTGCCGTGTGGTTTAAGGTGGCATAGAATGTCTTCTCAATAAATAATATTAAACCAAAGGGTTACACGTAGGAAAAAATAAATCTAAACTTATTCTCACACTATAAAAACACTTCTTACTTTTTATCTAGTTATTGTACATTTTTTATGATTTATATTTAAAATTGAGAAATAAAAGTCATATACGGTCATCCTTTACTATTCGTGGGTGATTGGTTTCAGGATCTCCACTCAGGTACCAAAATCTGCAGATGCTCAAGCCTCTTACATAAAATGACACAGCATTTGGATATAACCCATGCACATCCTCCTGTATACATGAAATCATCTCTTGATTACTTATAATTCCTGATACAGCCTACACACTGCCTCATTTGTGTCCATTCAACATAGTTTTGCATTTTGAAACTTTGTGGACATTTTCTCTGAATATTTTTGATTTACACTTGGTTCAATAAACACCTGTAAACCCCACAGATATGGAGGAGCGACTGTATATTTATAGTATGAAATATGATGTGTTGATATGTGTCCCCGTGGAGATGAGACTAGCAAGGCTTATGACTCTACAAATGTTTCATCGTGGAATGACTCTGCCAGCTTTCCAGGTTGCAGAGAGTAAGAATATCACTTGTTCATGTGATTCACGATCCTTGGAACCTCCTATGTGCTGCATCTTTGGATGGAAATTGGAGTCCCAGAGACAAATGAGGCTCCACCCTGCTTCCAGAAGCTCAGAGTCCAGGGGTGAGAACCCAGCGGAGAACAGATGGGGTTATGTGGACATGGTAATGATAACAGCGGTTTCTTTCAGCGAATACAGTGTCACATTACCTGAAGCAATGAGGGCAGACATGTTTATTTGAAGAGGAGACAGCTACATTGAAATCACAAAAAATTTTATAAGTTTCACTGCTGACAGAAGGCTGGAAAATAGTCCGAAGAAAGGTGAAACAGCATGAGGGAAGGTGGAACAGCACGTGGGTAAGTGCCACGTCAAGAGGGAGCCTCTTGTATGTTTGGAATTGTGAGTTCCTCAGTGTGATCGCAGCCTCAAGTAGACTAGGAAGTAAGCCAGTTAGGTTGGAGAGGTGGGCAGGGGTCAAGTGAAATGGAGAACTGTGGGCTAAGCAAAGGAGTGTGTTTTCTTTCCAGCAGGCAGTGGGGACCTAGACATTTGTAAGCAAGAGAGAGGCACCAGATTTGTGGCGTGAGGAGGAGCGATGCCCTAAGATGAAGACTCACGCCTTCAGATTCCAGCTGCTGGTACATGGGAGCTGGCAACTCGGTTTTGAGACAGGGCTGTTGTCTCCCTAGAAGACGCCCTCAAGGCCTGACTGTGGTGCTCATGGGCAGGAGACAACTTTGGATCTGGGCTTAGCATTTGGAAGTTCCGTGTACAAGATGGTATCTGTAGGGGGTGTCTTGGGCCTCTGAGAAGGGCGAGTGATTTTTCTCTGTGTGAAAACGCAGTGATCCAACTGTGCGTATGTCACCTCCTCAGGGTCTTGTTCATCAGAGTCCTGGAGAGAGGGAAATGCTGAGTGAGGGAGGGAAATGCTGAGTGAGGGAGGGTGCTCACGTTTTCCAGGACTGTTTGGGAATAACACTAGCCATGAGGCTGGGCCGAGGAGCACCTACCTCGCTGTTGGCTGTTCTGTTCCCTGCAGGCTCTTGGTCCATTACAGCAGCATCTGTAGGAGACGGAAGTCAACAAAAGAGCTCGGAGGGCACTTCTGGGTCCTCATTTCATAAGCAGATACCAACAAACAGGGGGAGGCCATAGGTGCCTGAGGTCCCTCAGTTGCCAACAGCAGACTCAGACATTCTATCTCTCTGAGCTCAAGGACCCATCCCATGAATAGCTCTGAGTTCCCATCCCATTGATTCTGTCTCCCACTTTCTGCCTGTCATGGAACCTTCTCCTGGATGTGAGTGGCTGCAGGGGACATGAGGATACAGTTCAGAATCAGGCAACGGTCTGTGAGCTGAAGGCAGGGGCAGGGAGTCTGGTGCTCTCTCTAGAAAGTCCTGCCTCTGTGGCTCCTGTCTTGGGCCAGGGACCATCCTGCCAGTGAGGAACACACAGCTGTGTGCTCCCATCCTGCTTCCCCACATGGCCCTGAGCTCTCTGGCCTGTGCCGCGTGAGACTTACTTTTTTTGTTGGAGCACCAGAGATGAAGGAGAAAGAAGAGGAGGAGGATGAAGAGGATGATGACCACTGAGGTCCCAATCAGAATGTGCAGGTGTCTGGGGTTACCTGGAAGAAGAGGAGACACCAGTAAGAAGCTAATCATAGCAGTTTCTCTATATGAATTGTCTTGCATTTCTTGATTGACAGGTAACCACTTACAGCATCTCTTTCGGACAAGCACCCAGATGGCGGGAGACCTAGCTTCCTCCTGCTTTCTCAGTTATAGCTCTCATAGTAACCATGGAACGTGCTGAGGATACAACTACTTTAGTTGAGATGTTTGACCCCTTCAAACCTCACATTGAAATTTAACCCCCAGTGTGGGAGGTTGGGCCTCTTGGGAGGTGTTTGGGTCATGGAGGTGGATCCATCATGAACAGATCAATGCTGTCCCAAGGAGACGGGGTTAGCAAGTTCCCTCTCTATTAGTTCCTGGAGAGCTGGTTGTTAAAAAGAGCTTGGAAGCTCCATTGCTCCCCCTCCCCCTTGCTCCCTCTCTTGCCGTGTGATCTCTGTGGTCTCTGCACAGACAGACCCTCCTTCCCTTCTGCCAGAGTGGGAGCGGCCTGAGGCCATCATAAGAAATAGATGCTGGTGCCATGCTTCCAGTACAGCCTGCAGAATGGTGAGGCAAACCAATCTCTTCTTTAGAAGTTACCCAGGCTCAAGTGTTCCTTTAGAGCAACAAAAATGGACTAAGACAGCAAAGTCCTGAGATCAGGAGGATCGTCCCAGAACAGCCTGGGCTGTCTTCCTGTTCTTCCTGGAGGAGGACGTCATGCAGTGCTTTAGCTGAGTGCTTCCTGTGGCTCCAGGGTACAAAACCCAGGCTGGGCTGCTTTCTGGCTTCCCCCAGCTACACTGCAAATGGGGTGACTCCACATGTCTCGAGCAGCTTTTCTGAGCCTTGGGGAACTGGCTCACATTGAAATGTAGGCTTCTGTTGTCACTCGCTGCTTATCTGTTAGTAATGAACCTGCCTATGTAACGTATTCTCTGTGTGTTCTGTCTCCCTGGAGTGACGGTGAGTGATAGGAATTGGCATAGGCCCAGGTGCAGTCCAGGAGGTGTTTAGAGTCTTCTCTGGGAAGACTGGACTGGGATTGATACACAGCGAATGTGCTTTAGGATTTCTACATCCACGGCATTCTTGAGTTAAACAACTTGCATTCTCCAAGAAAAGGAAACAAAAGTGAAATCAATATAAAAAAAGCGAAGTAGAATTCTCTTATGTCAAACAGCCAGAAAATAGTGTTGAAGCCCGTGTGAAATGTGCTACTCTTTGTGATCTCGGGAGACACATGTTAGGCTGCTGTTCTACCTGAGAGGCTGGGGGAAGGACCACCCCCTCGACTATCTATTGCTTCAATACCACCTGTCCTCCTGTGAATTAGTAGGAAAGGGGAGCAGGAGCTAGTGCTGTCGCTGATCTCTGATTCCAAGATCTGGACTCACTCCAAGGAGTATTAGCATTTACCTCCCCATGATCTATCTGTATCTCCACAGGTGATTGGAAGTAGGGGTGAGATGGGGGATTTGGGTGAGGGGGCAAGTTTTTTTTGTGATGACGAGAGCACTTTCTCTATTCCAGGATTTGTGCTGGAGGATTCAGCGGGCTTTCACATTTTCTATATGATCTCATGCTCACAGAAAGCCAAATACGGAAGAGGTTTTAGGCTGATTGCCTAATGGATAAGATAAAGGATCAAAGAAGTAATTATAGAGAAATAGAAAAATGATGATGGGAATTCAGGTGCCTTTGTCATTCGTGTGTGTTTTATTATATTTATGCATTTCTTATTTTTATTTTTTGAGATGGAGTCTCCTTGTGTCACCCAGGCTGGAGTGCAGTGATGCGATCTCCACTCACTGCAACCTCCATCTCCTGGGTTGAAGTCATTCTCCTGCTTCATCCTCCAGAGCAGGAGCTGGGATTACAGGGATGCACCACCATGCTCGGCTAATTTTTGTATTTTTAGGAGAGATAGGGTTTCACCATGTAGAGATAGGGTTTCACCATGTTGGCCAGGCTGGTCTCGAACTCCTGACTTCTTGGAATCCACTGGCCTTAGCCTCCTGCAGTGCTGGGTTACAGGAGTGAGCCACCGTTCACAGACTTGTATACTATGCTATAATAGGTCCCTTCATTTCCACCACCCCTCATATATCTGTCACTCCTTTGCCAGGTATTGATTTATGTGTAGGAGGAATAAATCTCAGAAAGAAATTAATTTAGCAAGGATTAAACAACTAGGAAACTCAAACCCAGCAAGCCCTCCCTGCAAATGATTCTACCTCCCAAGCATAGCTTATATCCATCTGCTTCATCCACTTAGGGTCTAAATCAGCACCACATTTCACCAGTGGGGCGGGAATTGCCTTTTCCACGGTCTCCTAGATTCCAGTTACGCACCTGGGCCTCCCTTATTTTCATGTCAGTCACTATTAATCATGTAGGGATTCCTGGTTACCCCGAGGTGAATCCAAGGGCTGTGAGTGTCAAACACACACTCCTTGTTGCTCCTTAGTTTCCTGTGTACCCAGTGTGCTCTCCGTCTCTCCACAGTCGTCTTGTCATTCTCCCCACTTCATTCCCAGCATTTGAGTCAGAGCCTCTTCCTTCAACATCAGATTGTTTTCACCTTTGTGCCTTCACAGCTGACAGCTGTGTGGAAAATCCTTCCGCCAATCTTTCAGGGGTTCAATCCGTGTTTTTCATTAATGTCACAAATATCTGATTAGTGAGACCTTCTCTGTCACCCAAAATTATACACTCAGCATTATCTATTATTTATTTTGAATTCTGGCTGGGCAAAGTGGCTCACGCCTGTAATCCCAGTACTTTGGGTTGCTGAGATGGTCGGATCACTTGAGGTTGGGAGTTTCAGACAAGCTTGGCCAATATGGTGAAACATCCTCTCTACAAAAAATATACAAAAAGAATTAGCCGGGCATGGTGGCAGTTGCCTGTAATCCCAGCTACTCGAGAGGCGGAGGCAGGAGAATCACTTGGATCCAGGAGACGCAGGTTGCAGTGAGCCAAGATCGTGACACTGCACTGTAGCCTGGAAGACAGAGGGAGACTCTGTCTCAATAAATAAATGAACGAACAAACAAATAGATTTCATACACAGATGCTTCCCAATGGATCATTCATTTATTGGTCCACTTGTGCATTCATTTTCTGCCCTCCCATTTAACCATCTGCAATATCAGTGTCCCAAGAGCAGAGGCCAAATGCATCTTGTTCACCGTTCGTGGAAGGCAGGAGAATGCTGTCCCACCCCAAAATGTCCCTGTCCTGGCCTCCATAGCTTGTGAATATGTTATTTTACATGGAAAGAAGGAATGAAGATTGCAGATGGAATTACGGTTGCTAGTCAGCTGAACTTAAAACAAGGGTATCCTGAATGATTTCCGGGAGATTATGATGGATTTTCATCTTGGTGAACCCAATAGAATCCCCAAGTTTTCAAAAGATAAGGAAGAAGGGAGAGCAGCATTCAGAGAAAGAGGTGTGGTAAGGAAGAAGGGTCTGAGTGATGCCATGTGAGATGTGACCAGCCTTTGTGGGCTTTGAGGAAGGAGGAAGGGGACCAGGAGCCAAGGAACTGGGAGCCTTTATAAGATGGGACAAGTGAGAAGCAGATTCTTGCCTGGAATCCTCAGGCAAGGGAAGGCAGCCTTGCTGTCACCTTGTTTTTAGCCCAGTGAGATGCACTTCATACTTTGAGCTACAGCACTGTAAGATAATTAAAAAGCCGCTTTGTTTTCACCCACGAATCTTGTGGAAATTTGTTATGGCAACAATAGGAAAGGATTCCAACTGCACAGCCTGAGCATGGGGCTGTGGCTGAATGAGTCAGTGAGTCGAAGTGTGCGTGCATGAGCTCTGTTCTCTATTACGGCAAGGCTCTTGCTCTGCTGAGTCAGCCAGGGTTGCTTCATGACCAACAGTAATTCATTCCTTGGCAAGTGGAACTTCTCTAAAACACCTCGCCCTCATCAGATGTTCCCTTCCCTTCCCTCTCTCAAGTCCCCAGGAATTTATCCTCCAGTTAGGAATGCAGGAAGAAAAAACACTGCATGTTTCCTGAGAAGGATGTCAGATTGGCAATCATTCTTCTAGCTTGTAGGAGGTCTCACCTGCAGGATATTAAAGGTTAAGAGACTTCGCTGAGCCCTTTGGTGGCCCTAGATCCCTTTCACTGTTGGAGTGTCTGGAGTTCAGAGATGGTGGAAGACAGGCCCTCATTCACAGAGCTGGGAGGTTTGAGCCAACACTTGCATCCAAGGCTTCCACCTCCCCAGGTTTCCAAAAGCAGAGATAAGAGGGGTCCTTTACTCACCAGATTTGGAGCTTGGTTCTGTGGGTGAAGGCCAACTACTTGAAGGGTTTCCTAGAACACGGGACAGGAGAGATGTGAGGAAATGAGGGTGCTTGTCCTCTACTCAATGGAAATCTTTGAGGTTGGTTCATGGCCAACACTCTGTTATCTAATGTTGGACCCTGGGAGTCTTGGGATCCTCTTCTCCATAATTTTTGTGTGCGATGCCCACTGTCTTGAGACTTGAAGGTATAAAGAGAAAACAGGAGCATCACACTACCTGACTTAGAAATATGTTACAGAGCTGTAGTAAGCAAAACAGCATGACATTGGCATAAAGAAAGGCACATAAAAAATGGAACAGAATGGAGAACACAGATATAATCCATGCATTTACATCCAATGGCTTTTTTTGTGTGTGTGTGTGATAGAATCTTGCTCTGTCATGCAGGCTGGAGTGCAGAGGTGCAATCTCAGCTCAATGCAACCTCCACTTCCTGGATTCAAGCAATTCTCTTGCCTCAAACACCCGAGTAGTGGTATTACAGGCACTGGTCACCATGCTCAGCTAATTTTTGTATTTTTAGTAGAGACGAGGTTTCACTCTGTTGGCCAGCCTGGTCTTGAACTCCTGGCTTCAGGTGATCCATCCGCCTCGGCCTCCCAAAGTGCTGGAATTGCAGGTGTGAGCCACCATACCCAGCCCATTTAATGGACTTTGACAAAGGTGCCGAGAACTTACAATCAGGAAAGGACAGTCTTTTCAATAAATGGTGTGGGGAAAACTGGATATCTACATGCAGAGGAATAAAACTGCATCTATACCTGTCACCTTACACAAAAATCAAATGAAAATGGATTAAAAACATGAGTCTAAGGCCTGAACCTATGAAACATGTAGAAGAAAATAATGGGGAAGACATTTGTCTGACGAAAGACATTTTGTTTAAAACCTTCAAAACACAAGTAATCAAAGCAAAAAATAGACCATTAGGATTACATCAAACCAAGCAACTTCTGCACCACAAAAGATAAACCAAGAAAGTGAAGAGACAACCGACAAAATAGGAGCAAATATTTGCAAACTATTCATCTGAGACGGGATTAATAACTGGAAATATAAGAAGCTCAAACAACTCAATAAAACAATTTAATTCAAAAAAAGAGCAAAAGTCATGAGGAGACATTTCTCCACAAACAAAACATAGAAATGGCGATCACGTATATGAAAAAGTACTCGGCATCACTCATCATCAGAGAAATGTAAATTACAATCGCGATGAGTTTTCATCTCATCCCATTAAAATGCCTTTTAGGCCGGTGGCTCACGCCTGTAATTCCGGCACTTCAGGAGGCGGAGGTGGGCGGATCACCTGAGGTCGGGAGACCAGCCTGACCAACATGGAGAAACTCCCTCTCTACTAAACATACAAAAATTAGCTAGGCGTGGTGGCACATGCCTGTAATCCCAGCTACTTTGGAGGCTGAGGCAGGAGAATCAGTTGAACGCGGGAGGCGGAGGTTGCAGTGAGCTGAGATCACACCCTTGCACTCCAGCCTGGGCGACTATGAGTGAAACTCCATCTCAACATAAATAAATAAATAAAATAAAGTAAAGTAAAATGGCTTTTACTGCAAGACAGGCAAAACAAATGCTGGCAAGATGGTAGAGAAAGGAGAACCCTGGTACCCTGTTGGTAGGAATGTAAATTAGTACAACTATTATGGAGAAAAGTATGGAAATTCTTTAAAAAACTAAAAGGAGGCTGGGCATAGTGGCTTATGCCTGTAACTTCAGCACTTTGGGAAACCGAGGCAGGCACCTCACTTGAGGTCAGGAGTTTGAGAGCAGCCTGCCCAAAATTGGGATATCCCGTCTGTGCTAAAAAAGTACAAAAATTAGCCAGGCATGGTGGCGTGCACCTGTAATCACAGCTACTAGGGAGGCTGAGTCAGGACAATCATTTGAACCTAGGAGGCACAGGTTGCAATGAGCCAAGATCTCACCACTTAGACTCCAGCTTGGACTAAGGAGGGAAACTCTTTCTCAAAAAAGGAAAAAAAAAAAAGAGAACTTTCATAGTGTCCAGCAATTTCACTACTGGGTTTATATCCAAAGGAAAGGACATCAGTGTATCGAAGTGATATCTGCACTCATATGACTGTTCCAGCACTGTTCACAGTAGCCAAGATGTGGAGTCAACCTACCTGCCTATCAGTGGGTGAATGGATAGAGAACTGTAGTACACACACACGGTGGAGACTACTCATCCATAGAAACAATAACATCCTGTCATTTGCAGCCACATGGATGGAACTGGAGGTCATTACAAAGATTCCCATTTCTCACCACATGCAGGAGATAAAAGGTGGATCTCATGAAGGTGGAGAATACAATGGTGGACACCAGAGGCCAGGAAGGGAAGGGTGGAGGGTAACAAAAAAAAGAATATAGATGTATTTATTTATTTAGAAACAGAGTCTCTCTCTGTCTCCCAGGCTGCAGTGCAGTGGCATGATCTCGGCTCAGTGCAACCTCTGCCTCCTGGCTTTAAGTGCTTCTCCTGCCTCAGCCTCCCAAGTAGCTAGGACTACAGGTGCATGCCGGCATGCTCGGCTAATTTTTCTTGTCTGTTTAGTAAAGATGAATTTCCCACATGTTGGCCAGGGTGATCTCGAGTTCCTGATCTTAAATGATCCACCTTCCTTGGCCTCTCAAAGCGCCGAGATTACAACCGTGAACCACCACACCCAGCATATAAAGGTATTTATGACCACTAGATTTTACTTTTAAAAATGGTAAAGGTGGTAAATTATATAGTTACATTTAACCTCAATAAATATTTTTGAAAATGAAAAGAAAAGGGTGTAGGGGTTGCTGGTGATGACATCTCTCTGTGTGGGTGAGAGGCCATGATGGGCTTCTGGGAAATGGATAAGATTGAGGGGCTGAGGGAACCTCTGATCTCCCGAAACTAAGCCCAGTCTCCCCTTCTCTGGGTCTGTCCTGACCGCTTTCTCCATCTGCCTGGGTGCCTGGAGCCCTGATCGGAGGCCTCCATGCAGGCCATGAAGGAGGGTTTGGAGGTGCCCTGTCTGCCATCCTGCGCCCTGACTCCGCCCTCACACCTGCTGTGTCTTCTCTCTGCATCTGTCCATGCTTTTCTCCATCATCAGCAGGAAGCTCCTTAGCTAAGGATTTAGGATCATAGGACATGAGAGAGATATGGGCTTTTCTCACCTGTGACAGAAACAAGCAGTGGGTCACTCGGGTCTGACAACTCGTAGGGAGAGTGACGGAAAGAGCCAAAGCATCTGTAGGTCCCTCCGTGGGTGGCAGGGCCCAGAGGGAAATCTGCCTGGAATGTTCTGTTGACCTTGCGCACTGCAGGGAGCCTACGTTCATGGGCTCCCCCCTCCCTGGATAGATGGTACATGTCATAGGAGCTCCGGGAGCTACAGGACAAGGTCACGCTCTCTCCTGCCTGAACCTTGGGGCCCGGCTGGGCTGAGAGAGAAGGTTTCTCATATGGACCTGGAAGGAGAAGAGGCAGTTTCCTCAGGGAGGTTCTTCCTTGTCATAGCTCCCCTCATACCTGAGCTGAGAACTCACTCCCCTGCTCTATGACCTAATGCTCTCTCTCTCTCTCTCACCCTCCACCCCATCTCTCTTCATATCTGTTTCCTCCTTCTACCTTTTCTGTCTCTCTAGGTCTATGACCTCAATTCCCCACCCTGAGGTATGTTTTCCCTTTTTGGATTGTTTTATTCTCTCTGACCCTCCTTGGATTGGTTGACTTGATCTTCCTTTTTCTTTAATTTTGAGTCTCTCACTTTCTGTCTTGTTCATAACTTTCTGCACATTTCTATCTATTAATCTATTTTGTGTCTATCTACAAATTATCTATCATCTATATTTATGTATCACTTATCTATCTCTCTATCAATTGTCTGTCTGTCTATCTATCCATCAATCATCTATTATCTATATATGTATCATCTATCTCTCTCTCTATTACCTCTCTGTCTGCCTCTCTGTCTCTATTTATGTATCATCTATGTATATATCTATGTGTCTATCATCATCATCGTCATCTCTATGTATCATCTATCAGTCATCATCTATGTATCTATAACCAATCCATTATCTATCATCTACCTATTTATCATCTATCTACGTCTATCTATCCATCTATCATCTCTCTCTCTCCGTCTCCTTGTCTTTCTCTGCCTCTCAGTCTCTCTAGTTCTATTTGGAATCTCTGCAATCCATCCCCACATATTTATCTTTCTCTGTCTTTGTGTCCCTCCCTCAGGGTTCTGATTTTGGGGCTTTTCTCTCCTCCTTTCCATCATTCTCTCCACTCTGCCCTCTTTTCTTTCTTTTTATGTGTCTGTGAATCTCTTAATCTCCTTCTTCTGGCTCATTTTGTGTGTGTTTATGTCTTTGCTTTTTGGTGTCCCTGATTTTTCTCTGTGTCTCTCAGCGATCCTATCATATGTGGGATTATTTGGAATATGAGCCTCAGAATCCAGTCTGGGGACCCCAAGTTCACACAGCATACAGGGGTTGGTGTTCAGGGGCCATGATATCCTGGGATGATTACTCTCCATTGCATGGAAGGCAGAGGTGTCAGAATAAACACGGCATCTGTAGGTGGCACAAGGCCTGAGGCCACAGGGCCCAACTCAGGTCAGAAATATGGGTGTCCTTGGGTTCTTCTGGTAGGAACACTTTGTGGAGGTAAAACAGAAATGAAACTTCTAACCTGTGCCAGGTCTCTGAGCAAAGTCAGCATGGAAGGACACCTCTCTCTGGGACATGTCTGTCTGTCTGAGTGTCTCCTTTACCTCTTTCTCTCTTTTCTACCTCCCTGTATGGCCCCTGTGTCTGTCCTCTGTTATGACAACTGTTCTGTACTTATGTCTCCTGTTTCTCTGTCTCTGTTGGTACAGACCTCACCAAGTCACTCTCTTTCCGTAAGAATCCCACACTTATCTTCCTCATGACCACCTGGGGGTTCCAAGTCCTGGATCATTCACTCTGTGTCCCAGTGACAATGAGAACAATGTCTAGACACTCTCACCTGTGACCACGATGTCCAGGGGATCACTGGGAGCTGACAACTGATAGGAGGTGTGAGTAACAGAACCGTAGCATCTGTAGGTCCCTGCAAGGGCAAGCATCATGGGACCGATGGAGAAATTGGCCTTGGAGACCCCATCATGGATCTGTCCAACGAGGCGTGAGGGGTCCTTAGAGATCCCCTCTTTGTGCAGAAAGAAGTGCTCAAACATGATATCTGACCAACATTGCAGGATGACTCTCTCTCCTGATTTCACCAGGGGACCTGGGTGGGCCAGGAGGGAAGGTTTTCTGTGGTTTCCTAGAAAGAGAAGTTGTGAGTTTAGAAGGCATCTCTCTTTATCATCCCATCCATGGCACCTGGAATGAGTGAGGGTTCCCCTCCCCGTGTCTGTCTCTCTCCTCCCTCTCTGCATCTCCGTGTCTTTTCTGTGCCCATATCCCCTGGTGCAGGTGCCTCCATCTGTCTTCCTCCCTCTTCTCTGTCCCTCTGTCTCCAGTAGCCCCTGACTCCCTTGCCACTGTGAAGACAGCCTCATCTCTTGGGCTGTTGTATCTGTTTCCCACTAATCTCTTTCCTGCTGTCTATGTGGGGGTGGAAGAGGACAGGCTGCATGTCCAGGCTCTTAGCAGCCTGAATCAATCTCTTTTGAACAAATCCCCAGTTCAAGTGATTCTCTTGCCTCAGCCTCCCCAGTCGTTGGATTACTCGCGCCCACCACCACATCTGGCTATCCTTGTTTGGTTTCCTAACTTGTCCTTGACCTGGGTTCCTGTGTTGGTTTCCTGTTGCTGCTGCAGAAAATTACCACAAACATGGCAGCGGGAGAGAACACACTGACCCCTTCCACTTCTGGAGACAGAAATTGGATCCAGTTCTCCCTGTGCTGAAATCAAGGTGTCTACAGGGCTGCGTTCCCTCTGGAGAATCAGCGAATCAGTTCTCTTGACTTCTCCAGCCCTTAGAGGCCACCTGCATTCTGTGACTAGTGGTCTTTCTCCACCTTCAAAGCCCGCAGTGGCTGATAGCGTCTCCCTCCCACTACACTGCTCTAATCCCCACTCCCCTCTTCCTCCACCTCTCATGTGGACCCTTGTGATTACACTGAGCCCAGTGGGACAGTCCAGGCTGTCTCCCCATCTGAAGGTCAACTCATCAACAACCTGAGCTCCACCTTCCCCTTCAGTCCCCTGCCCTGTAACATAAATAGTCACAGGCTCCAGGGATTACAATGTAGCCATCATTGGGGACAGTGATTCTTCCCACCACAGCACCCATTTCCCCTGTATTCAATCTCCCTTGACCCCAAATACAGTCAGGGCCTGGGTGATGGGACCCTGACGGACACCCCCACCAGAAGCTCTGGGATTCAGGAGGTGGGACAGTGAGAAGCCCAGACGGAAAGCCTCTGACCTGTGACCATGATCACCACGGGGTTGCTGGGTGCCGACCACCCAGTGGGGGAGTGTGGGTGTGAACCCCGACATGTGTAGTTCCCTGCATGTGCTGTGGTCACAGGGCTCATGTTGAAGCTCTCCTGGAATATTCTGCCATGGAAGATGGGAATGTGGATTCTGTCTTCTTTGTATAGCATGAAATTGTTAAACCTATGACGATAGTGACACCGAAGAGTCACGTGTCCTCCTCGAGGCACCACAGCGCTGGGCCAGGCAGACAGGAAGGGTTTGTCCTGACCACCTGGGGGAGAAGGAGGCACTGCCTTAGAGAGGAGGATGTGGAGCCGCCCCTCACTCCCAGTGCCCAGAAGATTCTCCCCATTTCCACTTTCTAAGGCTCCTACCACACCTGGGTGCCCAGGGCTACAGGAAGGACCCATCCTGCATAGACTTGGCGTCTCCCTACAACAAGTGTCAGCTGAGAACTTTGAGCAAGTTGCTGGAGAAGCAACTCTTACTAGATTTTAATACTGCAAAATTACTCATATAAAACAACACAAAGTAGACACGGCATGGAGGGCAAGTCCTATGTGAATGGAATATCAGCCAATTGATGAACTGAGCCCCCATCAGAGGATTTGGAATGTCAGGGCCATGGCTGTGGTTTCCTCACCTTTTCTGGTAGAAAGACCGCAGCCACACTGCAGCCCCTACCATCACGGAAACGCTGGAGGGTGTGAGTTACACCTTTGTCCTCAGAGGACCTGCTGTTCCTAGCACTGCTTCCCTCTCTTTCTCTGCTGCTGACACCACTTCCTCCCTGCACACCCATCTTGGAGCACCCTAGTCTCACCCCA
The DNA here is from genome assembly GCF_000001405.40 of Homo sapiens. Classification (NCBI taxonomy): domain Eukaryota; kingdom Metazoa; phylum Chordata; class Mammalia; order Primates; family Hominidae; genus Homo; species Homo sapiens. The sequence goes on from NT_187668.1 coordinate 41,213, forward strand.
GTCTTCACAGAGCTTGACTCAGGAAAGGGAATGAAAGGCCGGGGAAGGCAAGGTCAGAAATGTGGGCCGAGCATCCGAGGGTCCCCTCTTCCTAGTGTATGAGAGACTCCCCGACAGGACTTCCCTCCCATTTCAGGAAAATCCTCTTATGTGGGGAGATGACACCCTAAGGTTTGGGGAAGGACTCACCCATGTGTGGACCGGCCCTCTGGACCAAGAACAACCCTAGAAAGAAAGATCATGATGGACCATCCATCTGCAGGCAAACCAGGGCACCCTGCTGCCCCCACTGGGCTGTGCGTCTTGGCAGCCAGGCCCTTGCTGGGCTGAAGGTAAACTCACCCTCGCTGCCTACCTGCCCCCAGGAACAAGGATCTCGGCTGTGCAGAGACTGAGCCTCCAGGCCCAGATCTCTACCTCCAGGCCTAGATCTACACAACAGGCCCAGATCTCCACTCCAGGTCCGTATCTCCACTCCAGGCCCATATCTCCTCTCCAGGCTGGTAAGTCCACTCCAGGCCCATATCTCCACTCCAGGCTCCTATCTCAACTCCAGGCCCATATCTCCTCTCCAGGCTGGTAAGTCCACTCCAGGCCCATATTTCCACTCCAGGCTTCTATCTCCTCTCCAGGCCCATATCTCCTTTCCAGGCTTGTATGTCTGCTCCAGGCCCGTATCTCCACCCCAGGCCCATATCTCCACTCCAGGATCATATCTCCACTCCAGGCCCAGATCTCCACTTCATGCCCTTAACTCCACCTCCGGGCCCATAACTCCACCTCTAGGCCCATATCTCCACTCCAGGCCCATATCTCCACTTCAGGCCCATATCTCTACTGCAGGCCCATAACTCCACCTCCAGGCCCATATCTCCACTCCAGGCCCATCGCTCCACTTCTAGGCCCATCACTCCACCTCTAGGCCCACATCTCCCCTCCAGGCCCATATCTCCCCTCCAGGCCCATCTCTCCACCCCAGGCACATATCTCCACCCCAGGCCCATATCTCCACTCCAGGCCCAGATCTCCACTCCAGGCACATATCTCCACCCCAGGCCCCTATCTCCACTCCAGGCCCAGATCTCCACTCCAGGCCCAGATCTCCACTTCAGGCCCATAACTCCACCTCTAGGCCCATAACTCCACCTCTAGGCCCATATCTTTACCTCCAGGTCCAGATCTCCATCCCCTCACTCCCTCCCTCGATTCCCTTCCAGGACTCACCAACACACGCCATGCTGACGACCATGAGCGACATGGTGCTGCCGGTGCAGACAGGCGGCTGCGCCCCAGCTCAGCTCAGCAGCGCACAGGATGTTATTCGGCGCCCTGCCCATGCAGTTTACATGTTGACCACATCATGGGAGGGTGACGTACGCAGGCTCTTTCTACCTTGCATGAGGCCCAGTGGGTGCTCGCTCAAGAGCGGAACATGGCTTCCTGGAAATTGCTCTCACTAGAATTGACACCTCGCGTCCTTCACTATGACCAACTCAAAACACGTCTCAGATCCAACCTCCCGAACATGAGATGCCTAAAATCTGTGCTAACATGAAAGACTTTTCATGTATTTTTATTGTTTTTATCTGAGATTCAAACTCTTCTTCCTGTGTAATATGCAAAATATCTAATAGGTATTATTAAGGTTTTCAGAGCAATTGTGACAATAAACCATTAGAATTTTTCATGATTGTATTTCTAGTATTACAGCAGAACCAGTTCAAATGATTTAAACTCCCAGGGAAGGATTATGCAATTATTTACAATCTTAGAATTGTACTTTATCAGCAAAAATCACAACATGTAAATTCTGGATTTTTGTAGATTTATCTAGAATTTGTCTCATGTCCCAAGATTCCAGAGTTCCAACTCATGGTTTGCTCTCTCTCTGTCTCTCTGCCTCCCTCATTTTAAATTTTACAGAAATATCCAGTAACATAATGCTATAGAAAATCAATTTCCCCAGCACTTTGGAAGCCGAGGTGAGTGATCAACCGAGGTCAGGAGTTTGAGACCAGCCTGGCCAATATAGTGAAACCATGTCTCTGCTAAAAATACAAAAATTAGCCATGCCTGGTAGCAGGCACTTGTAATGCCAGCTATTCAAGAGGCTGAGGCACGGAATCCCTTGAACCTGGGAGGCGGAAGTTGCAGTGAGCCGAGATCGTGCCACTGCACTCCAGCCTGGGCAACAGAGCGAGACTCTGCCTCAAGAAAAATAAAAAAAGCATAGCAAATAGCCTATAATAAATAACTAGAGGACTCCAGCTACCAAATTTTAGGGGTTGTATAAGGCTGCATAAAATGCAGCATTCTCAAGAGAGTGGACAGAGAGAGAGCCACTGAGCAGAAAACAGTGTCTAAAATACATCCGTGTACACACAGTCCCTTTATAGTTGACAAAGGCTGCCATGTGGTTTAAGGTGGAATAGAATGTCTTCTCAATAAATAACATGGGCCCAAGGGTTACACATAGAGAAAAATATATCTAAACGTATTCTCACACTATAAAACACTTGTTTATTTTATCTTGTTATTGTAATTTTTTTATGTTTTATATTTAAAATTGAGAAATAAAAATTATATACAGTCATCCCTCACTATTCGTGGGTGATTGGTTTCAGGATCTCCACTCAGATAGCACAATCTGCAGACGCTCAAGCCTCTTACATGAAATGGCACAGCATTTGCAAATAACCCATGCACATCCTCCTGTGTACATGAAATCATCCCTTGATTATTTATAATTCCTGATACAGCCTACACACAGCTTCATTTGTGTCCATTCAACATAGTTTTGCTTTTTGAAACTTTGTGGATTTTTTCTCTGAATATTTTTGATTTATATTTGGTTCAATAAACACCTGTAAATCCCACAGATACAGAGGACCGACTGTATATTTATAGTATGAAAGATGATGTGTTGATATGTGTCCCCGTGGAGATGAGACTAACAAGGCCTATGACTCTACAAATGTTTCATCATGGAATGACTCTGCCAGCTTTCCAGGTCTGCAGAGAGTAAGAATATCACTTGTTCATGTGATTCACGATCCTTGGAACCTCTTATGTGCTGCATCTTTGGATGGAAATTGGAGTCTCAGAGACAAATCAGGCTCCACCCTGCTTCCAGAAGCTCCGAGTCCAGGGGTGAGAACCCAGTGGAGAACAGTTGGAGTTATTTGGACATGGTAATGATAACACTGGAAACTTTCAGCCAAAAAAAGAGTCACCTAAAGAATGAAGGCAGACATGTTTATTTGAAGAGGAGAGAACTACACTGAAATCAAAAAAATTTTATAAGGTTTGCTGATGCCAGAAGGCTGAAAAATAGTCTGAGGAAAGGTGGAACAGCACGAGGGAAGGTGGAACAGCACGTGTCTAAGTGCCGTGTTAAGAGAGAGCCTCTTGTATGTTTGGAATTGTGAGTTCCTCAGTGTGATTGCAGCCTCAAGTAGACTAGGAAGTAAGCCAGTTAGGTTGGAGAGGTGGGCAGGGGTCAAGTGAAATAGAGAATTGTGGGCTAAGCAAAGGAGTGTGTTTTCTCTGCAGCAGGCAGTGGGGACCTTAGACATTGGTAAGCAAGAGACAGGCACCAGATTTGTGGTGTGAGGAAGAGTGATGCTCTAAGATGGAGACTCACGCCTTCAGATTCCAGCTGCTGGTACATTAGAGCTGGCAAGCTGGGTTTGAGACAGGGCTGTTGTCTCCCTAGAAGATCCCATCAAGGCCTGACTGTGGTGCTCATGGGCAGGAGACAACGCTCTGGGCTCAGCATTTGGAAGTTCTATACACACGCTGGTATCTGTTGAGGGTCTCTTGCTCCTCTGAGAAGGGCCAGTGATTTTTCTCTGTGTGAAAATGCAGTGATCCAACTGTGCGTATGTCACCTCCTGAGGGTCTTGTTCATCAGAGTCCTGGAGAGAGGGAAATCCTGAGTGAGGGAGGGTGTTCACATTTTTCAGGACTATTTCGGAATAAGACTGTATCCATGAGGCTGGGCTAGGAGGACCTACCTCCCTGTTCACTGTTCTGTGTCCCGCAGGCTCTTGGTTCATTACAGCAGCATCTGTAGGAGACGGAAGCAATCAAAACAGCTGGGAGGGCACTTCTGGGTCCTCATTTCATGAACAGATACCAACACACAGGGGGAGGCCATAGGTGCCTGAGGTCCCTCAGCTGCCAACAGCCAGACTCAGACATTCCATCTCTCTGAGTGCAAGACCCCATTCCATGAATAGCTGTCAGTTCCCATCCCATTGATTCTATCTCCCACTTTCTGCCTGTCATGGAATCTTCTCCTGGATGTGAGTGGCTGCAGGGGACGTGAGGATACAGTTCACAATCAGGCAACGGTCTGTGAGCTGAAGGCAGGGGCAGGGTGTCTGGTGCTCTCTCTAGAAAGCTCTGCCTCTGGCTCCTGCCTTGGGCCAGAGACTTTCCTGCCAGTGAGGAACACACACCTGCGTGCTCCCATCCTGCTTCCGCACAGGGCCCTGAGTTCTCTGGCCTCTGCTTCGTGAGGCTTACTTTTTTTTTGGAGCACCAGCGATGAAGGAGAAAGAAGGGAAGGATGGTAAAGAGGATGATGGCCACTGAGTACCTAATCACAGCATGCAGGTGTCTGGCGATACCTGGAGGAAGATGGGAATCCAATAAGAAGCTAACCATAGCAGTTCCTCTTTGTGGATTGTCTCTCATTTCTTGGTTGCCAGGCAACCACATAAAACACCTCTTTAAGACAAGCACCCACGAGGCGGGAGACCCAGCTTTCTCCTGCTTTCTCCGTTATAGTTTTCATAATAACAATAGAATGTGCTGATGATACAACTGCTATTGTTTCAATGTTTGACCCCTCCAAACCCCACTTTGAAATTTAATCCCCAGTGTGGGAGGTTGTGCCTATTGGGAGGGGTGTTTTGGTCATGGGGGTGGATCCATCATGAATAGATTAATGCTGTCCCCAGAGGACGGGGTTAGCAAGTTCTCCCTCTATTAGTACCCTGGAGAGTTGATTCTTAAAAAGAGCTTGGAAGCTCCATCACACCCCCTTTCTCCCTCTCTTGCCATGTGATCTCTGTGGTCTCTGCACACGCAGGACCCCCTTCTCTTCTGTCAGTGTGGGAGCAGCCTGAGGCCGCAGCCAGAAATAGATGGTAGTGTCCTGCTTCTAGTACAGCGTGCAGATCAGTGAGCCAAACACATCTCTTTTCTTTAGAAGATACCCAGGCTCAAGTGTTCTTTTATAGCAACAAAAATAGGCTAAGACAGCAACATCCTGAGATCAGGAGGAACGTCTCAGAACAGCCTGGGCTGTCTTCCTGTTCTTCCTGGAGGAGAACATCATGCAGTGCTTTAGCTGAGTGTTCCCTGTGGCTCCAGGGTACAAAACCCAGGCTGGGCTGCTTTCTGGCTTCCCCCAGCTACAGTGCACATGAAGTGACTCCATGTGTCCTGAGCAGTTTTTCTGAGCCTTGAGGGACTGGCTCACCCTGAAAGGAAGGTTTCTGTTGTCACTCGCTGCTTATCTATAAGTAATGAACCTGCCTATGTAATGTATTCCCTGTGTGTTCTGTCTCCCTGGAGTGATGGTGAGTGATAGAAATTGGCACAGCCCCAGGTGCAGTATGGGAGGTGTTTAGAGTCTTCTCTGGGAAGACTGGACTGGGATTGATACACAGTGAATGTGCTTTACAGTTTCTACATCCACAACCCTCTTGACTCAAACAAATTACATTCTCCAAGAAAAGGAAAAAACAGTGACATTGAAATCAACATAAGTGAGGTTGAGCTGTCTTATATCAAACAGCCAGGAAATAATGATGAAGCTCGTGGGCAACATGCTACTTTTGTCATCTTGGGAGTCAGATATTAGGCTGCTGTTCCACCCGAGAGTCTGGGGGAAAGACCACCCCCTCCATCATCTGTTGCTTCAATACAGCCTGTCTTTCTGTGAATTACTCCAAAAGGTGACCAGGAGATAGTGCTGGCACTGGTCTCTGAGTCTACGATCTGAACTCCAAAGAATATTAGTTTTTACCTCCCCATGATCTATCTGTATCATTAATGTGATTGGAAGTAGGGGTGAGGTGGGGGATTTGGGTGAAGGGGCAAGTTTTGTGCCATGAACAGATCACGTTCTCTATTCCAGGACCTGTGCTGGTGGGTTTCACATTTTCCATATGATCTCATGCTCACAGAAAGCCAAATAAGGAAGATGTTTTCGCCTGATTTTCTTACGGATAGGATAAAGGATCAAAGAAGTCATTATAGAGAAATAGAAAAATGATGATTGGAATTGGTGTGCCTTTGTCATTCGTGTATGTTATATTATATTTATGTATTCTTTATTTTTATTTTTTGCCATGGAGTCTCACTCTGTCACCTAGGGTGCAGTGCAATGACGCGATCTTGGCTCACTGTAACCTCTCCCTCCCTGGTTGAAGCCATTCTCCTTCTTCAACTTCCCGAATAGCTGGTATTACAGGCACGCGCCACCACCCCCAGCTAGTTTTTGTATATTTAGTAGAGATGGGGTTTCACCATGTTGTCCAGGCTGATCTCGAACTCCTGATCTCACTTGATCCAGCCTCCTCAGCCTCCCAAAATGTTGGGTTACAGGTGTGAGCCACCGTTCAGAACCTTGTGTGTTATATTATAATAGGTCTCTTCCTTTGCACCACCCCTCATGTATCTCTCACTCCTCTGCCAAGTATTGATTTACATGTAGGAAAAATAAATCTCAGAAAGAAATCAATGAAGTGAAGATTAAACAATTAGGAAAAATCAAACCAGGCAAGCCCTCCCTGCAAATTACTCTACCTCACAAACACATCTTGTGTCCATCTTTCATTCATTTAGTGTCTAAATCAGCACCACATTTCACCAGGGGGGCGGGAATTGCCTTTTCCACAGTCTCCTAGATTCCAGTTATGCACCTGGGCCTCCCTTATTTTCATGTCAGTCACTATTCATCATGTAGGGATTCCCAGTTAGCCCCGAGGTAAGTCCAATGGCTGTGAGTATCAAACACACGCTCCTTGTTCCTCCTTAGTTTCCTGTGTACCCAGAGTGCTCTCTGTCTCTCCACAGTCGTCTTGTCATTCTCCCCATGTCATTCCCAGCATTTCAGGCAGAGCCTCTTCCTTCCACATAACATTGTTTTCACCTTTGTGCCTTCACGGCTGACAGCTGTGTGGAAAATCCTTCCGCCAATCTTCCAGGGGTTGATCTATTTTTTTCATTAAGGTCACAAGTATTATTTGATCAGTGAGAACTTCTCTGTCACCCGAAATTATACACTCAGCATTATCTATTATTTCTTTTAAAATACGGCTCGGCGCCTTGGCTCACGCCTCTAATCTCAGCACTTTGGGAGGCTGAGACGGGCGGATCCCTTAAGGTTGGGAGTTTGAGATAGCCTGGGCAACATGGTAAAACCTTGTCTGTACTAAAAAAAAATACCAAAAAAAAATTAGCCAGGCGTGGTGGGACATGGGTGTAATCCCAGCCTCTCGGGAAGCTGAGTGTAGAGAATCGCTTTAACCTGGGAGGTGGAGGTTGCGGTGAGCCGAGATCCCGCCACTGCACTCCAGCCTGGGGCACAGAGGGAGACACCGTCTCATAAAAACAACCAATCAATCAATCATTCTCATGCACAGATGCTTCCCAATGGATCATTCATTTATTGGTCCACTGGTGCATTCATTTTCTGCCCTCCCATTTAATCCTTTGCAATATCAGTGTCCAAGAGCAGAGGCCAAATGCACCTTGTTTACCATTTGTGGAAAGGATAAGAATGCCGCCCCACCCCAAAATGTTCCTGTCCTAGTCGCCATATCTTGTGAATATGTTATTTTACATGGAAAAAAGGAATGCAGATTGCAGATGGAATTACGGTTGCTAATCAGCTAACCTTAAAAGGAGGGTATCCTAGATGATTTTAGGGAAATTATGATGGATTATCTTGGTGTTTCCAATAGAATGCCAAAGTCCTTAAAAGATGAGGAAGAAGGCAGAGCAGCATTCAGAGAAAGAGGTGTGGACAAGGAAGAAGGGTCTGAGTGATGCCGTGTGAGAGGCGTGACCAGCCTTTGTGGACTTTGAGGGAGGAAGACGGGGACCAGGAGCCAAGGAATGTGGGAGCCTCTAGGAGCTGGGAAAAGTGAGGAAGCAGATTCTTGCCTGGAACATTCAGAGGGAAGGCAGCCTTGCTGTCACCTTGATTTTAGCCCAGTGAGATGATGCATTTCATACTTCTGAGCTACAGCACCATGAGATATTTTTTAAAAATGTGGTTTCCATCCACGAAGCTTGTGGAAATTTGTTATGGCAACATAGGAAAAGGTTCCACACTGCACAGTCTGAGCATGGGGCAGTGGCTGAACGAGTAAGTGGAAGTGTCATGTGCACGGATGAACTACGTTCTCTCTTACTGCAAAGCTCTTGTTCCACTAAGTCAACCAGGGTTGGATCATGACAGACAGGAGCTCATTCCTTGGCAAGTAGAACTTCTCTACAAATACACCACCCTCAAAAATGTTCCCCGTCCTTCCCCTTCTCAAGCCCCCAGGCATTTGTCCTCCCAGTTAGGAATGCAGGCAGAACAAACACAGCATTTTTCCTGAGAAGAATGTCTGATTTGCACTCATCCTTCTACCCTGAGGTCTCAGCAGCAGAAAATTAGAGATTAAGAGATTTCACTGAGCCCTGTGCTGGGCCCAGATCCCTTTCGCTGTTGGAGTGTCTGGGGTTCAGAGACAATGGAAGACAGGCCCACAATCACAGAGCTGGCAGGTGCTGAGCCAACGCTTGAATCCAAGGCTTCTACCTCCCCAGGTTTCCAAAAGCAGAGATAAGAGGGGTCCTTCACTTACCAGTTTTGAAGCTTGGTTCAGTGGGTGAAGGCCAACTACTAGAAGGGTTTCCTAGAACATGGGACAGGAGAGAGGTGTGGCAATGAGGATGCCTGTCTTCTACTCAATGGAAATCTTTGAGGTTGGTTCATGGCCAACATTCTATTATCTAATGTTGGGCCCTGGGAGTCCTGGCATCCCATTCTCCATAATCATTGTAGGTGACACCAACTATCTTGAGACTTCAAGGTATAAGGAGAAAACAGGAGCATCACACTACCTGACTTAAAAATATGTTACAGAGCTGTAGTAAACAAAACAACATGACATTGGCATAAAGAAAAGCACATAAAACAATGGAGCAGAATGAAGAACACGGATGTAATCCACCCATTTACATCCAATGGACTTTGACAAAGGTTCGAAGAATCTACAATCTGGAAAGGACAGTCATTTCAATAAATGGTGCAGGGAAAACTGGATATCTACATGCAGAGGGATGAAACTGCACCTCTACCTCTCACCATACACAAAAATCAGATGAAAATGGATTAATGACTTAAGACCTGAATCCATTAAATGTCTAAAAGGAAACACTGGAGAAATGCTCCAGGACATTTGTCTGAGGGAAGACATTTTGTTTAAAACCTCAAAAACACAAGTAATCACAACAACAACAAAAAAATAGACCATTGGGATTATATCAAATCAAGCAGCTTCTGCACCGCAAAGGAAGCAACCAATGAAGTGAAGAAGAGACAACCCACAGAATGGGAGCAAATATTTGCAAACTATGCATCTGAGATGGGATTAATAACTAGAATATAAAAGAAGCTCAAACACCTCAATAAAACTAATAATTTAATTATAAAATTAGTAAAAGACCTGAACAGACATTTCTCAATGAACAAAACATACAAATGAACATATATACATTGCATATATGAAAAAGTGCTCAGTATCACTAATCATCAGAGAAATGCAAATGAAGTCACAATGAGCTATCATCTCACCCCATTACAATGGGTTTTATCTCAGAGACAGACAAAACAAATGTTGGCAAGGTGGTGGAGAAAGGAGAACCCTGATACACTGTTGATAGGAATGTAAATTAATACAGCCATTACAGAGGAGAAGAATATGGAAGTTCCTTAAAAACTAAAAAGAGATTAGGCACTGTGGCTCACGCTTGTAATCCCAGCACCTTGGGAGGCTGAAGTGGGCAGATCACTGGAGGTCAAGAGTTCGAGACCAGCCTGGCTAACATGGTGAAACCCCGTCTCTACTAAAAATACAAAAATCAGCCAGGCGTGGTGGCGGGCACCAGTAATCCCAACTACTCGGGAGGCTGAGGCTGGAGAATCACTTGAATCCTGGAGGTAGAGGTTGCAGTGAGCCCAGGTGGTGCCATTGCACTCCAGCTTGGGCAACAAGAGTGAAACGCTATGTCAAAAAAACAAAAAGCATAAAACAAAACCTAAAAAGAGAACATCCAGAGGATCTAGCAATTCCACTAGTGGGTGTAAATGCAAAGAAAAGGACTTCAGTGTATTGAAGTGACATCTGCACTCCCATGACTGTTCCAGCACTGTTCACAGTAGCCAAGATGTGGAGTCAACCTACCTGCCCATCAGTGGATGAATGGATAGAGAGAATGTAGTACATACACACAATGGAGACAACTCATCCATACAAAGAGAAACGTCCTGTCATTTGCAGCCACATGGATGGACTGGAGGTCATTACAAGGATTGCCATTTCTTACTCACATGCAGGATGTAAAAGGTGGACCTCATGAAGGTAGAGAGTAGAATGGTGGATACCAGAGGTTAGGAAGGAAGGGGTGGAGGGTAACAAAAGAAGAATATAAAAGTATTTATTTATTTATTTAGAGACAGAGTCTCTCTGTGTCACCAGGCTGCAGTGCAGTGGCATGATCTCAGCTCACTGCAACCTCCTCCTCCTGGGTTTAAGCCACTCTCCCGCCTCAGCCTCCCAAGTTGCTGGGATTATAGGCGCCTGGCACCATGCCTGGCTAATTTTATTTTTTTTGTCTTTTTAGTAAAGATTGGTTCCCCCATGTTGGCCAGGCTGGTCTCCAGCCCCTGATTTTAAATGATCCACCTGCCTTGGCGTCTCAAAATGCTGAGATTACAGGCGTGAGCCACTGCACACAGCATATAAAGGTATTTATGATCCCTAGATTTTACACTTAAAAATGGTAAAGTTGATAAATTATATAGGTATATTTAACCTCAATCAGCATTTTTTCAAAGGAAAAGAAAAAGTGTAGGGGTTGCTGGTGATGACATCTCTGTGTAGGTGAGAGGCCAGGGTGGGCTTCTGGGAAATGGGTAAGGTTGAGGGGCTGAGGGAACCTCTGATCTCCCCAAACTGAGCCCAGTCTCCCTCCTCTGGGTCTGTCCTGACCACTTTCTCCATCTGCCTGGGTACCCGGAGCCCTTACTGCAAGCTTCCATGCAGGCCATGCAGGAGGGTTTGGAGGTGCCCTGTCTGCCATCCTGTGCCCTGATCCCACCCTCACACCATGCTGCATCTTCTCTCCACATCTGTCCATGCTTCTCTCCATCATCAGCAGGAAGCTCCTCAGCTAAGGCTCTAGGACCATAGGACATGGGACAGACATTGGCTTTCCTCACCTGTGACAGAAACAGGCAGTGGGTCACTCGGGTCTGACCACTCGTAGGGAGATCCATGGAAAGAGCCGAAGCATCTGTAGGTCTCTCCGTGGGTGGCAGGACCCAGAGGGAAGTCGGCCTGGAATGTTCCATTGATGCTGGGCACTGCAGGGAGCCTAAGTTCATGGGCTTCCCCCTCCCTGGATAGATGGTAGATGTCAAAGGAGCTCTGGGAGCTGCAGGACAAGGTCACGTTCTCTCCTGCGCGAACCGTGGGGCCCGGCCGGGCTGTAAGCGAAGGTTTCTCATATAGACCTGGAAGGAGAAGAGGCAGTTTCCTCAGGGAGGTTCTTCCTTGTCACAGCTCCCCTCCCACCTGAGCTGAGAACTCACTGCCCTGCTCTATGGCCTAGTGCTCTCTCTCTCTCTCTCTCTCTCACCCTCCACCCCCAACTCTTCCTGTCGATCCCTCCCTATGTGGTTCCAGCCTGGTGGTGGCATCAGCAGTGCACCCTTGCTGATCTCAGGGTAGCCAACCTTCTTGTTTGGTTTTTTAACTTGTCCTTCACCTGGGTTCCTGTGTTGGTTTCCTGTTGTTGCTGGAGAAAATTATCACAAACATGGCGGCAGGAGAGAACACACTGACCCCTTCCACTTCTGGAGACAGAAATCAGACCCTGTTCTTCCTGGGCTACAATCAAGGCATCTGCAGGGCTGCATTCCCTCTGGAGACTCGGGAGAATCAGTTCCATTGATTTCTCCAGCCCCTTCGTGGCTCGTGGTCTTCCTCCACCTTCAAAGCCCACAGTGGCTGGTGGAGTATCCCACGATGCTGCTCTAATCCCCATTCTCCTCTTCCTTCTCCACTCATATGGACCCTTGTGATTACACTGAGCCCAGTGGGAGGGTCCAGGCCATCTCCCCATCTCAAGGTCAACTCATCAACAACCTGAGCTCCATCTTCCCCTTCAGTCCCCTGCCCTATAACATAGTCACAGGCTCCAAGGATTACAATGTGGCCATCGATGGGGACAGTTATTCTTTCCAACACAGCACCCATTCCCCTGTATTCAATCCCCCTTTACCCCAAATATAGTTGGGGCCTGGATGATCGGACTCTGGTGGACACCCCCACCAGAAGCTCTGGGACTCAGGAGGTGGGACAAGGAGAAGCCCAGACAGGAGCCCTCTGACCTGTGACCATGATCACCAGGGGGTTGCTGGGTGCCGACCACTCAGTGGGGGAGTGCGGGTGAAAACCTCGACATCTGTAGGTCCCTGCGTGTGCTGGGGTCACAGGGCTAATGAGGAAACTGTTCCAGAATATTCTGTTGTAGAGCTCAGGGACAGGGACCCCATCTTTCTTGTACAGCGTGAAGATGTTAAACCCACGACGACAGTGACACCGAAGAGTCACGTGTCCTCCTTGAGGCACCACAGCGCTGGGCCAGGCAGAGCAGAAGGGCTTGTCCTGACCACCTTGGGGAGAAGGAGATGCCGCCTCAGAGAGGAGTATGTTGAGCTGCCCCTCCCTCCCTGTGCTCAGAAGATTCTCCCCATTTCTTCTTTCTAAGGCTCCTACCACACCTGGGTGCCTGGGGCTACAGGAAGGACCCATCCCGCATAGACGTGGCGTCTCCCTACAACAAAAGTGTCAGTTGAGAACTGAGCAGGTGCTGAGTAAGGGACTCTTACTAGATTTTAATACTGCAAGATTAGTTACACCAAACAACACAAAGTAGACATGGGGTGGAGGGTATGACCTTTGTGAATGGAATATTAGCTAATGCCTGAACCACAATAAACAACTGAGCTCCATCAGAGGATTTGGAATGGCAGGGTCGTGGCTGTGGTTCCCCCACCTCTTCTGGCAGAATGACAGCAGCCACACTGCAGCCCCTACCGTCATGGAAACGCTGGAGGGTGTGAGTTACCCTCTTGTCCTCAGAGGACCTGCTGTTCCTAACACTGCTACCCTTCCCTCCTCTGTCGGTGACACCACATCCCCCCACACACCCCAGCTTTGAGCACCTCAGTATCCCGCCTGGGCCACACAGAGCTCAACTCAGCCATGGGGAAGAAAGGCTGGGGAGGGCTAAGACAAAACAGAAGGCTGAGCATACCAGGATCTCCTCTTACTAGTTCATGAGAGACTCCCAGGATCTCCTCTTACTAGTTCATGAGAGACTCCCAGGATCTCCTCTTACTAGTTCATGAGAGACTCCCAGGATCTCCTCTTACTAGTTCATGAGAGACTCCCCCCAGGCCTTCCCATGGTCAGCCCATCAGCCCACCCTCTGTGCTGCCTCCCTCCCATTTCCGGAAAATTCACTTGTATTGGGGTGAAGATGGCAACCCATCATTTGGGGAAGGACTCACCCACGTGTGCCCACACACTCTGGTCCAAGAAGAACCCTGCAAAGAAAGATCATGATGAACTATTCATCTCGGCAGCAACCTACCCTTTCCTCCTGAGCCACTGGGCGCCACGCTGGACTGAAAATTAACTCATCCTCACCACTCACTTGCTTCAGAACATGGCTCTCTGCTGGGGAGACACCCAATCTGCAGGCCCATAGTGTAACCCTGGTGCTCCTTCCCTTCCAGGACTCACCAAGACATGCCAGGATGATGACCGTGGGTGACATGGACATGGTGCAGCTTCTGCTGCCAGGACGCAGTGACTCGGCTCGACTGACCGGTGCAGAGGATGTGGTGAGGGGCCCGGATCGTGCAGTTGACACATTGACCACAACATGTGAAGGGGACATAGGTAGGCTTCTTCTACGTCATATGAGGTTCAAGTGGTGAATCAGTCAAGGGAGGAATGAGGGTTTCTGAAAACTGCAGACTAGACTTGTCACTTCACATCATGCGCAACGGCCAGGCTCAAAACACATCTCAGACTCACTTACCCCTGCACGGGACGATTGAATTCTGCACTCACATGAGGAACTTTTGATGTATTTTTTTTTGTTTCTACCTGAGATTCAAACTCTCCTTGATATGTAATATGCAAAATACCTAATAGGTTTTATTAACACTATAGAGCAATCGTATTAAATAAATCATCATAATTTTCCATGGTTGTATTTTTCCTGTTAAGCCAGAAACAGATAAAATGATTTAAATCCCAGTAGAAAAGACTATATAGTTATTTCGCATCATAGAATTCCACCTTATTAGCAAAAACACAATATGTCAATTGAAGGTCTGGTCGTGTTATCTAGAATTTGTCTTATGACACAAGAGTCCAAATTCACAGTTCCCTGTCTCCCTTTTTGTCTCTCTGTAACGTGTGCTTTTTTTCTCCCTGTGTTGTTTGTGTGTCTTTCTTTCTCTCTCTCATTTGAGGAAAAAATATCAGACTGATAACATCCTCCAACTTGATACTGGAATATTGCAATAACTGAAGGTTGAAATCTACACATTTAATGTGCTGTCATTCTTACAAATGTCTCTTATTTACACCTACCTTTCTGGAGTTTGTAAGAACTTTTTCACTATGCATTTTAAATTTGTAAAACTCATAATTTTTAAAAAGGGATGGGTCTCACTGTTTGCCCAGGGTGGCCTTTACTCATTCTATAAGGCTGGCATCACCCTGATACTAAAGACAGAAAAGAATATTAAACAAAAGAAAACTACATGCCAATATTCCTGATGAGCATAGATGCAAAAATCCACAAAAAATACTAAGAACTGAATCCCGCAGCATATCAAAAAGTGAATCCACCATGATCAAGTCAACTTTATTCTTAGGGTGCAAGGTTGGTTGAACATACACAATCAATACATGTGATTCATCACCTAAACAAAACTAAAAACAAAAACCACATGATCTTCTCAACACACATGTAGAACATACTTTTTACTAAGCATTTCTTCATGTTAAAAGCCCTCAACAAGCTAAGCATTGAAGAAACATAACTCAATATAATAAGAGCCGCCTATGACAAACCCACAACCAACATCATACTGAATGAGTAAAAGCTGGAAGAAGTTCCCTTCATAAGTGAAACAAGACAAGAATGCCCACTCTCACCATCCTATTCAACATAGTACTTGAAGTCCTAGACAGAGCCATCAGGAAAGAGAAAGAATTATAAGGCATCCAAGTAAGAAGAGAGTAGCAGAGAGAGGTAGTCAAATTACCTCTGTTTGAAGATGAGATAATTTCTATACCTAGAAACCCCATAGTCTCTGCCCAAAGGCTCCTACATCTGAGAAACAAACTTCAGCACAGTTTAAGGGCAGAAAGTCAATGTACAGGCTGGGTGTGGTGTCTCAGCCTGAAATCTAGCACTTTGGGAGGGCGAAGCGGGTGGATCACCTGAGGTCTGGAGTTCGAGACCAGCCTGGCCAACATGGCGAAACCCTGTCTCTACTAGAAACACAAATATAGCCGGACGGGGTGGTACGCAACTGTAGTCCCAGCTGCTTGGGAGGCTGAGTCAGGAGAACCGCTTGAACCTGGGAGGCAGAGGTTGCAGTGAGCGGAGATCACGCCATTGCACCTCAGCTTGGGCAACAACAGTGAAACTGCGTCTCAAAAAAAAAGCCAAAACAAATTTAATTAATGAGGAAAAGGGTATTTGTGGTGTCCATCATGATGTTTTCATATAGGTACACATTGTGGAATGGATGAAACAACCTCTTTATCTATTTATTTTTTCACATACTTGTATGTTTTGTGTGTGTGGTGAGAACATGTAAAATCTAATCTCTTAGTAATGTTCAGTACACCATATGTTGCTATTAAATGGAGTCACCAAGACATACAATAGATCTCTTGAACCGATTTCTTCTAACTGAAATTTTGCATCCTTTGACCAACATCTCTTCAATCTCTCTCCTTCCCAGGTTCTTTCGACGACCATTTTACTGTTCCTCTAGGTTCCACTTCTTACACTCCACACATGAGATCATGTGGCATTTGTCTTTCTGTGCCTGGATTGTTTCCCTTAACATAATGTCCTCTAAGTTTTTTCACATTGTCACAAATGAGAGGACTTCCTTCTTTGTTGTAAAGGTTGTATAGTACTTCATTACGTTCCTATCGTATACCACGTTTTCTTTGTCCATGCACCCATAGATGGGCAGTAAGGGTGATTCCACATCTTGGCTGTTATGAATAATGCGGCTGTAAACATGGGAATGCAGATATCTCTTCAACATACTGATTCCACTTCCTTTGGATACATGCGCAGTAGTTGGATTGCAGACACATATGGGAATTCTATGTTTAATTTTTTCAGGAACTTCCAGACTGTTTTCCATAATGGTTGTGCTAATTTACATTCCCATCAACTGCATACAAATGTTCCCTTTTCTCCACATCCTCGTTAACCCTTGTTATTTTTTATGTTTTTGATAATGGTCTTTTTTTTTTTTTTTTTGAGACTCAGTCTTGCTCTGTCACCCAGGCTGGAGTGCAGTGGCACAATCTCGGTGTACTGCAACCTCTGCCTCCTGGGTTCAAGCGATTCCCCTGCCTCAGTCTCCAGAGTAGCTGGGACTACAAGTGTGCGCCACCAAACTCTGCTAATTTTTGTATTTTTAGTAGGGATGGGATTTCACCATATTGGCCAGGCTGGTTTCGAACTGCTGACCTCAGGTAATCTCCCTGCCTCGGCCTCCCAAAGTGCCTGAATTACAGGCATGAGCCACCATGCCCAGACTGTTAATGGTCATTCTAAGAGGTGTGAGGTGATATCTCATTCTAGTTTTAATTTTTATTTAGCTGATGTTTAGTAATGCTAATCATTTTTTCATATACCTTTTGGTGATTTGTCTTATTCTTAGAAATGTTTATTCAGATACTTTGCCCATTTTTTTAAGTTGGGTTATTTGATTTCTTACCATTGAGTTGTTTGAGTTTCTTATATATTTTGGATATTAATTCCTTATTAGATGTATGGGTGCAAATATATTCTCCCATTCCATAGGTTGTCTTTCCACTTGTTGAGTTTTTTTTTTTCTTTGCAGAAACTTTCAATTTGATATAATGTTATTTGTCTACTTTTGCTTTTGTTGCCTGGGCCTTTGGGTTAATATCCAAAATGGTTTTGCCCAAGCCAGTGGAGTTTTCCCTTGATTTCTTTTAGTAGTTTTTTTTTTTTTTTAAGATGGAGTCTCACTCTGTTGCCCCGGCTGGAGTGCAGTGGTGCGATCTCGGCTCACTGCAACCTCTACCTCCTGGGTTCAAGTGATTCTCCTGTCTCAACCTCCCGAGTAGCTGAGATTACAGGCACCCACAACCACACCCAGCTGTTTTTGTATTTTTAGTAGAGGCGGGATTTCACCATGTTGGCCATGCTGGTCTTGGAATCCTGACCTTAGGTGATCTGCCCGCCTTGGCCTCCCAAATTGCTGGGATGATAGTCTTTCATCTTACATTTAAGTCATTAATCTATCTTGAGTTGACTTTGTATGTTTTGTGAGGCAAATGTCCACTTCCATTCTTCTGCATGTCTCCCAATCCCATTTATTAAAGAGACTGTTCCTTCTCCATTGTGTGTTCTTGATACATCCCAAAAATTGTTTGACCCTAAATGCGTGCATTTTTTTTCCTGGGCTATGAATCACTTCCATTGGTCTATGTGTCTGTTTTTATGCAAGTACTGTGTTGTTTTAATTACTGTAACTTTGTAATGTAGTTTGTGTTTAGGTAATGTGATTCTTCCAACTTTGTTCCTTTCCCTCTAGATGGCTTTGGTTATTTGAGATCTTTTGTGGTTCCACATGAATTTTAGGACTGTTTTTTCTATTTCTGTAAAAAAAATGTCATTGGATTTTTGATAATGGTTGCATTGAATCACTTTGGATAGAATGGACATTTTAACAACATTAATCCTTCTGATCCGTGAACATGGAATATCTTTCGATTTATTTGTTTATTTCTTGAGTTTTTTCATCAATGTTTTATAGCTTTTGCATACAGATCTTTCTACTCCTTGGGTGAATTTATTCCTGCATGTTTTGTTTTCTGTAGTTATTGCAAATGGGCTTATTTTCTTGTAAACTTTTTTGGATAGTTTGTTGTTAATGTATAGAAACTTTGTTGTTGTTGTTGTTGTTGTTTTGATGATACCCATCCTAAGGGGTATGAAATGGCATCTGGTGTAGTTTTAGTTAGTATTTCCCTAATGATTCGTGATGCTGAATATCTTTTCATGCGTATGTTCTTTGGAGAAATGTCTGTTTCAGTACTTTGCCCATTTTTGAATTGAGTTTATTGTGATTGAGTTTTAGGAGTTGTCTGTATATTCTGGATGTTAATCCCTTACAGGTGGTGTGGTTTGAAAACATTTTCTCCCATTCTGTGGGTTGTCTTTTTACTTTGATAATATCGTCTTAAAAGTTCTTTTTCCTTGCCATGTGAAGTAACTGATGTTGTCTTTTGAGTCACAATATTTCAAAATTTTCATAAAGTCTAACTTGTTTATTTTTTCTGTAGTAGCCTGTGCCGTTGTTGTCACATCTAAAGAATCACTGCCAAATCCGATGTTGTGAAGTTTTCCTTTGTGTTTTCTTCTAAGACTTTAATTAAATTTTATTTGTCAATATTTAGGACTGACAAAAGCTTTTTAACATTCCTGGCACCATCTCAGTTATTGATCTACTCCCAAGATGGATCATTTCAATTAAAACATGTAAAGCATGACCTCACCTGAATGTGTTTGAACTTGCTCTTCTCCCTTTCAAATCGACTCCCTCACTTACATAGTTTGTGTTCAAATGTCAACAAATAAAACATAAAAAGAAATCAATCTTTTCATAGACCCTTTATCTAAAATAGAATAGTAGGTGCCATGACATTTCATCCTTTCATCTTGAATTATTTACTTTTCTACATGAACCAATCCATTCTTCTGTGTGCATGTGTGTGTGTGTGTGTGTGTGTGTAGTTTATCTGTCTACATATAATGTAAACACCAAAAAATAACAGACATTTAGTAATTTTCAAATGAGACTTCAGGAATTAACAATGGCTTGCCATTTTTAGTGTGTTATTATTATTATATTTAGATGAACAGAATTGCCTCAGGAACATGGCCAGGGGCTCATAGTCCAGGAGAACTGTGGCCTGACTCAGGTACATTTTACCTGCAATAACAGCAATTGCAGGTCACTGGAGTCCATCACAATTGGCTGGAGACAAATGTAAGACAAGAATATTTGCAGTTTCCCCAGACTGACACAGTTGCAGGTTCCCCGAAGTAATGAGTCCTGAGACACCTCCAACAAGAGCTAGAAAAGGTATCACTTCAAGAGGAGTTGCAGCCTACTCATTTTAGACAAATGGAGCAAAATTACAGTA
Source organism: Homo sapiens (assembly GCF_000001405.40). NCBI lineage: Eukaryota > Metazoa > Chordata > Mammalia > Primates > Hominidae > Homo > Homo sapiens. The sequence continues at coordinate 61,030 of NT_187668.1, forward strand.
TCACATCTTTTCCTTTCTCCTTCATAGAATCTGGATGAACAGAACAGAAAGAGTTAATGGAATATAAGATTCCAATTCTCTGGCATGAGAAAATAGACAAGGAAAGGAAGATTCATCTTCATCACATCTCAGACATGCTTGGACACAGGGTCCAAGCACAAAAGAGAAACACATACTTCTTCCCATCCACACTGGGATCCAGGGTCTTCTCCCTCCTGTCAGGCCAGAACTGAGTCTCCACTCCCCAATTTAGTTCCCAGAGATGAAGCCCAATTTTCCTCTGTCTCAAGCTTTGAAGGCCAGCTTTAGCGTGTTCACCATGGATGAATGAAGGTGAGGTCAGAGGTTTGGGAAATGGTCAAGAATGAGGTGAGAAGAGAGCTGTGGAGGCATGGCCCCGGGGAGCTTGGTACCCCCCCATATCCAGAGCCTGTCTGGTCCAGGAGAGTTCCCAACCCTGTGAGCACCAACTCCGGATATTCTGGGCAGTGACCCGAGGGACAGCCTCTTATGAATACAGGCTGTTTTCCTCCAGTGTCTGCTGTGAAACCAGGATGTACAACATGGCCGTGTTCAACCCAACAATGGACTTAGGATTTTGCTGTACGCCAAAACTCAGTGTCCAACTTCCACTCTGTTTAGCTGGAAAAAGAAGGGGTTTGTTCCCATACATCTCACTCCTGTGTTCCTCTTTCAGTCTCAAAGCTCAGATGAAAACAATGAGTGTCACTTATTGTCAATCCTCTTCCCTGCCTTTTCCACACTCATCAGTATTACCGTTTACATTGAGACTAAAGATGGCCAATCACCACTTTTCTTCGGAAAAATCAACCTGATGTTGTACCTACTTTTTTAGAGGTGGAATCAACCTACCCTAAGATGCCAACTACATTTTACTGAATGGACTTTTGTGGATCCCCTCGATGTATATAGTGGCACCTTGAGGTATCATCCCTGTCTTTAGCAAATGAATATTATCCCAAGGACAATATTTCATCACAATTATTCGGGATGGACGAGTGGATATTGTGGTAGCAAGAACATTACTAAAAGTCACAGCTGATACAACACACTTGAAACCCATCTGGCCAATCTCCCACAGACAGAATGTCGCGCCATTCACTCCAGCCAGCTTCAGTCATGTTTCTTCCATTTCCACCTGTGGCCCCTCATGTCTCCACCAGGTCTTAGCCAGCATTGCCAAAAGAGCCAGGAAGACCAGACCAGCCACAACAATCCTGATGGAACTCTCCACAGTATAGTTCTGGAGAACAGGGGCTGGAGGGTGGGGGTAAGATCAGAGACCTTTCCATGTGGGCCAGGCCCCTCTCTCCCCAGAAGCTCTGAAATGGAGCTATTTCCCCATCTCACCTTCATAAAATTCTTCCTGTCCAGAACCCCTCTTCTCCCTATATCATCATGAGCACCTTCAGAAGTCTTTTGCCACAAAAAGAAATTTCTTTTGAAGATATACATTTTTTTGTACATTTCAAAAATGTTCCCAAACTAATTCTCCAAAGCAATAAATGTTTGTGTGTATTGCTGGGTAGGTTATGCATACAAGGAAAGGAAGCATAGTGAGTCTGATTTGGCAGAGGAAACATATGTGGAAATTATATCATTTACTCTCTTTACAAAATTAAGTACAAAATTGAAAACACTGGTAAGAAAGAATGAGCTATAGAGAAAGAAAACATCTGAGATGCTTGTTTCCAAGATGGCTGACTAAATGCTTTTCTGGCATGTCTCATCCACTTAGAAGAACGAGCAGAATCCAGAACAAAAACCATATGATCATCTCAATAGACATAAAGAAAAGCATCTGAAAAGAAATTCAACATCCTTACCTGATGAAAACCCTCAAAAACTTAGGCATAGAAAGAACATACCTCAAAATAATAAAAGCCATAGATGACATATCTAGAGTCAACATCATACTGAACAGGAAAAGTTAAAAGCACTCCTCTGAGAACTGGCACAAGACAAGGACACGGACATCCACCACTTCCTATCAACATAGTACTGGAAGCCTTGTCAGAGCTATTGGGCAACAGGAAGAAGTAAAAATCCAAATTAGAAAAGAGGAAGTAAAATTATTTTTATTTCTGATGCTATGATCTTAAATCTAGAAAATCCTAAAGACCCTGCCAAAAATTCTTATGATTGATAAATGAACTAAGTAAAGTTTCAGAATACAAAATCAATATGTAAAAGCCGGTAGCATTTCTCTACACCTATAATGATCTAGCTGAGAACCAAATCAAGAAGGCAATGCCGTTTACAATAGATACGCAAAATTAAAACACTCAGGAATACATTTAACCAAGGTGGTGAAAGATCTGTACCAGGAAAGGTGTAAGACACCAATGAAAGCAATTATAGATAATACAAAAAAAAAAAAAGAAAAAAAATCCCACGCTCATGGATCATAAGAATTAATATTGTTAAAATGACCATACTGCCTAAAGCAATCTACAGATTCAGTGCAATTCTTATATGAAAATAGTAACACCAGTTTTCACAGAATTAGAAAAAGCAATCCTAAAATTCATACAGAACCAAAAAAGATCCTAATAGAGAAAGCAATTCTAGGTGAATGTAGAAACCTGGAGGCATCACGCTATCTGACTTCAAACTATGCTCTAAGGCTATAGTAACTTAAATAGCACAGTGCTGGTATAGACACAGAAACAGAGATCAATAGACCAGAATAGAGAGCCCAGAAATACAGCCTCATATCTACAGTGAATAATCATTGACGACGTTAACAAAACATACACTGGAGAAAGATTTCCTTTTCAATAAAAGGTGCTGGGAAAACTAAATAGCCATATGCAGAAGAATAAAACTGGACCTGTATCTGTAATCATACACATAAATTAACTTAAGGTAATTAGCAGCTTAAATGTAAATCCAGAACTATAAAATCACCGGTGGAAACCCAAAGAGAAACTCTTCTGGGCATTGGTCTGGGCAAAGAATTCATCACTAAGACCTCAAAAGCACAGGCAATAAAAATAAAACTAGACCAATGGGACTTAATAAACGAAAGAGCTTCTGCCAAGCAAAGGAAATAGTAGCAGGGTGAACAGACAACCCACAGAATGAATGGAAATGTTTGCAAACTATGCACCCAACAGAGGACTAACATCCAGAATTTCTAGGCAACTCAAACAACTAAACATAACCCCTCAAATAATAGCATTAAAAAGTGGGCAAAGGGATATACATAGACATTTTTCAAAAGAAGACATACGAATGGCCAAACAGCGTATGAACATCACTAATCATCAGAGAAATGCAAATTGAAACCACAATGAGATATCATCTTACAGTAGTCAGAATGGCTATTACTAAAAATGCTGGTGGGGAGTGGTGGCTCACGCTTGTAATCCCAGCACTTTGGGAAGCTGAGGCGGGTGGATCATGAGGTCAGGAGTTTGAGACCAGCCTGACCAACATAGTGAAACCCCATCTCTACTAAATATACAAAAGATTAGCTGGGCATGGTGGTGTGGTTCTGTAATCCCAGCTACTCAGGAGGCTGAGGCAGGAGAATCATTTGAACCTGGTTGGTGGAGGTTGCAGCGCGTGGAGATGGCGGCACTGCACTCCAGCCTGGGTGACAGTGGAAGACTCCATCTCAAAAAGAAAAAAAGAAAAAGTGAAACATATAACAGGTGTTGGCAAGGATGCAGAGAAAAGGAAACTCTTATACACTGTTGGCCGGTATGTAAATTAGTATAGCCTCTATGGAAGACAGTATGGAAATTTGGCAGAGAACCAAAAATAGAAGCACCATTCGATCTAGGGGTCCCGCTGCTGGGTATCTACTCAAAAAATACCTGCACCTGTATGTTTATTGCAGCACTGTTTGCAATAGCAAAGATATGAAATCAATCTAAGTGTCTGTGAATGAATGATTGGATTAAAAAAAGGATGCGTGTATACACAACGAAATACTATTTGGTCATAAAAATAAAACCATGTCTTTTGCAGCAACATAGATGGAGCTGGACGCCATTATTTTACATAAAACCACTCAGAAAGACAAATACCACATCTTCTCACTCTACATGGGAGGGGAGTAATGTGTACATATGGACGTAGAGTGTGGAATGACGGACAGCGGAGGCTAGAAGGCTGGAGGGTGGCGGGACGTGGGTGAGTGATGAGAATTTGCTTAATGAGTACAATGTACGGTATTTGGGTGATGGATATAGTAAAAGTCCTGACTTCACTACTCTGCAACATACTCATGTCACAAAATTACAAGTGTACCTCATAAATTTATACTAATAGAAAAGAAAGTCTGTACACAGTAATCAATTGTGATATGTAGATAAAGTCAATATTAAATTTAAACCAGAATAACTAGTTAAAATGTTGTGTACACAACAGTGAAGAGAGTATTTATCCTCTATGACAGAGGAAACCATCAATATTAATGCACAGAAAAAGCAAATAACTGAAACAAGAAAGAGCAGTTTTGTGACAGGGTAAAAATTGACAACAGTTTTAGAATGCTCCTAACTTGAGTTCCAAAAAGAAAGAACGAGAAAACAGGTCAGAAGCAATCTTTAAAGAGGCAATTGTTGATTATTTGGAGGAAGTAGACACATCCATCAATCCACAGGTTCAAGAAATCCAGTGAATGCCAGGCAGAATGAAGTAAACACACCTCACGTTCAACATTACAGAAAAGCAGCATAAAAGCACAACCAACCCTTAAAATTAGCCAGAGGAAAAGGATCAGCTGGTAAGGATTTATAGGGAGCCAAGCATTGTCTTCCCCACAGAAAAAAGGAAAACATAAGCCAGTAGAATAGCATCTTTACCCAGCTAAGATACCGTCGCCAGCCACCGACAATTCCTTACATAGTACAGTTACTGTCCAAGATCAACGCAGGAAAGAAACAGAACTGAAAGACAAAAGGGCAAAGAAAGCTTTTCTCACTGACCCTAAAGGAAATTCTGATGACCGTGCCTCAAAGATAAAGAAAGTGAAACCAGATGGGGTGTCGAAGATTCTGACAATAACTAAGAGCAGAGGAAGAACTAAAAATATGGCTATGCCAAAAATGAATATGGACCATACGATAGTGTATGAAAACACGCCCCTGTGTAATTTCTGAAAAAGATAGAATTATGTATACCACAAAACAAAACATCATATAAGTAAATACAAACATATGTACTAAATATGCTCTAAAATCCTGTTCTTACACAGGAAGAGTGGAAATATGTTTTTATATTTGCAGTTTAATCTCTGAAATGATTAATTTCAATTTTAAAAATATGTAACAACTTCAGGATGAGTACACCATATATGTATTCCTAAACGACATAGATCAAAAATAGAATGTTTGAAATAGAAAACCACAGAAGTCAGTGGGAAAAAAAGGGAATCAGGAAAACACAACGTAATAATAACAAAAATATGATTGGAAGAACTGCTCAAACATGAACAAAAGATTGTCAGAAAGTCTTACTTTCTAAGGCGAATTGTTTGAAATTTACAAAGGACACATCTCAATGTTAACAATTCATGGAGTTTGAAATTAAACAATGTAGAAATATACCAAGCAATCACTGTTAGAAATGTGGTATAACTATATTAAAATTAGACAAAATTAGTCTTTGGGAAAAATCAGCGGAAAACATTAAGCATAAAATGTAGGAAAAAAGCAGGTAAATTTATAGCATTTTAAATTTACCAGGAATATATAATCAGTTTACACTTAACCACTCCCAGTAATATTCCTGCAAATATACATGGAGGAAGAGTCGCGGAAATAAATGGACAGGTAGGCAAATCCACGGCCACAGTGGGGTGTTTAACACTCCTCTTTTCTCAGTTGTTGATAGAAGTGGTTCAGGCAATTAGAGAGGATTTAGAAAGATAATTGCTGGACCTGACCCAAGGTATAAGTCCACTCCCAACCACAGGACTCACTTTCCTTACAAGCACAAGGGCATTTAGAAATCTCTCTGGATTCTGACCAGCCCTCACCATATGGCAGGTCCATGGACTTCTTGGAACACACCAAGCTCATTCTCACATTAGGGTCATCCCCAATGTCCTAAGTCCATGAAAGTTCCTTTCAACACACTCCCCAGGGCTCACTCCCTCTTGTCTCTAAGATCGGAGTTTAAATGTGATCTCTCTGATGAGGTCTCAGTGAGACGTTCCCTCCTGTACACTCCAAATGACAACGTTCCACGTTCATTCATTTCATTCTGTGCATGGCACTTTCACCAAGTGCTAAGGATTCACTCACTAATTCATACATTCATTCATTCATTCATTCACTCATTCCATCATTCACTCATTCATTCATTCTCTCATTCATTCATTCATGTTCTGCCTCTCTCTCCCACCCCACAGCAATGTGAGCATCATGAACCCAGGAGCTTGGCCGTGCTGTCTACTCCTGGCCGTGAAACAGAGAGAACTGATGGTAGGTGTGAAATAAATATTAGATGAATGAGTTAGTGAAGGGGTCATTTACTGGGTGAGCTCAGTTCTCTCTACTCTAATGCCCTCCCTCGGCTGACTTCCCTGAGTTGCCCCCTCGGCTGAGTGAAGTCCCTTCACTGGCAAATGGAACCTCAACCAGTAGCACCTAGGTGGTCTCATACTTTGTTCTTTCCCTCTCCTCTTGCTCCCTAAGGATTATCAATCTCCATGACAGGGCTGGAGAGCAGACAAGCCACACATTCTTTCTGGGGAGAGAGTAACATGGAGTACAAGGCATTCCACATTTAGGAAGAGAACTCAGTTATGGAAGGTCAGAAATGAAAAGTTCCTACAGACCAACACCCAGGTTGGTGGCCACAGCCCTAAATGCTGATGGAGAATCACTGCAAGTCTGTAGGGAAGATGTCTGGCTTGAGGCCACTGAGCGAAGTGGCAGATCCTTCTCAGCCTTCAGTGCTGAGCCTCTGTCCCCTCAGGGATCCACTGACCAATGAGAAGAGCCTCTTCTCATCTCCTGGGATGGAGCTTGGGGCCCCTGGCGAAGGAATGGGCCTGTTTCCACCTGTCATGTTGTCATCTAGCTTGGAAATCCTGCGAGTCCCAGGGAGGCCCTCCCCGAGTCCCCAGAGAAGACTCCCCCACTGAGTCTCCAAGGTGTGGAGAGAGCAAAAAACATCTAGGGTGGAAAATGCCTCCCATCAAGAGACATTGGGGCTCCCCCAACGATGGTTGCATCTGTGCCCCCCATGTGGAAATCACTCTTTGGTGAGAGGTGGGGGCTTCTGGAAATGGGCAATGGCGGGCGGCCAATGCTACCTCTAGTCTTTCCAATCTGAGCCCGGCCTTTCATGCTCCTGAGTCAGCATTGATGCTGTTTACATGTGTCCCAGGTGGGCTTCTGTACAAAGACTGGGAAGTGGTTTATGTGGCCTGTGCTCTATCTGCAAGCTTCAGGTAGGGTTGCAGTTACCACCCCAAACCCTAATGTGATCTGTCTGCCTCGCTCTGTCTGTCTGTCTATGCCTCTTTCTGTATGTTTGCTTTGTGTGTCTTCTATCCAGCGTCTCTGGCTGACACCCCCATGGCCACCCCCTCCATCTGAGGCTCCCCTGAATGTGGCCATTGTAGTCCATCTGAGTCCCACTATTTGGGGAACAGACTGGTTTCCTCACCTGTGACAGACACAAGCAGTGGGTCACTAAGGTCTGACCACTCGTAGGGAGAGTCACGGAAAGAGCCGAAGCATCTGTAGGTCCCTCCGTGGGTGGCAGGGCCCAGAGGAAAGTTGGCCTGGAAGGTTCCATTGACCTTGGGCACTGCAGGGAACCTAAGTTCATGAGCCTCCCCCTCCCTTGATAGATGGTAGATGTCATAGGAGCTCCGGGAGCTGCAGGACAAGGTCACGCTCTCTCCTGCCTTAACCATGGGGCGCGGCTGGGCTGAGAGAGAAGGTTTCCCACATAGACCTGGAAGGAGAAGAGGCAGTTTCCTCAGGGAGGTTCTTCCTTGTCACAACTCCCCTCCCACCTGAGCTGAGAACTCACTCCCCTGCTCTATGGCCTAATGCTCTCTCTCTCTGTCTCACCCTCCACACCATCTCTCTTTATGTCTATTTCCTCTTTCCACCTTCTCTGTCTCTCTAGGTCTCTGACCTCACTTTCTCACCTCTAGATATGTTTTCCCTTTTTGGATTGTTTTATTCTCTCTGACTCTCCTTGGACTAGTTGACTTGATGTTACTTTTTTTAAATTCTGAGTTTCTCACTTTGTGTCCTGTTCATAACTTTCTGCATATTTCTATCTATTATCTATCGATATATCTATTTATCTATTTGGTGCCTATCTACAAATTCTCTACCTGTCATCTATATCTATATATAATCTATTTATCTATCAATTGTCTATCCAAAAATCATCTATTATCTATATCTATGTATCATCTCTCTCTCTCTATGATTTCTCTTTGTCTGCCTCTCTATCTCTATGTATTATCTATCTATCTTCATCTTCATCATCTCTATGTATCATCGATTAATCAATGAATGAATCAATCATCATCTATGTATCTATAACCTATTATCTATCATCTACCTATTTATCATCTATCTATATCTATCCATCTATCATCTGTCTTGCTCTGCCTCTCGGTCTCTCTAGTTCTCTTTGGAATCTCTGCAATTCATCCCCACATCTCCATCTTTCTATGTCCTTGTGTCTCTCCCTCAGGACTCTAATTTTAGTGCTTTTCTCTGTTCCCTTCCATTGTTCTCTCCACTTCTCTGCCCTCTTTTCTCCCTCTTTATGTGTCTGTGAGTCTCTCAATCTCCTTCCTCTGGCTCATTCTCTGTGTGTTTATGTCTTTGCTTTTTGGTGTCCCTGATTTCTCTCTGTGTCTCTCAGTGATCCTCTCATATGTGGGGTTATTTGGAATGTGAGCCTCAGAATCCAGTCTGGGGACCGCAAGTTCACACAGTATACAGGGGTTGATGTTCTGGGGCCATGATATCCTGGGACGATTACTCTCCATTGCATGGAAGGCAGAGGTGTCAGAATAAACACGGCATCTGTAGGTGCCAGAAGGCCTGAGGCCACAGGGCCCAACTCAGGCCAGAAATATGGGTGTCCTTGGGTTCTTCTGGTAGAGAACACTTTGTGGAAGTAAAACAGAAATGAAACTTCTAACCTGTGCCAGGTCTCTGAGCAAAGTCAGCATGGAAGGACACCTCTCTCTGGCACATGTCTGTCTGTGTCTCCTTTAACTCTTTCTGTCTTTTCTAACTCCCTGTATGGCCCCTGTGTCTGTCCTCTGTTATGACACCTGGTCTGTACTTGTGTCTCCTGTTTCTCTGTCTCTGTTGGTACAGACCTCACCAAGTTAGTCTCTCTCCATAAGAATACCAAGCTCATCTTCCTTATAACCACCTGGGCCTCCAAGTCGTGGATCATTCACTCTGTGTCCCAGTGACAATGAGAATAATGTCCAGACACTCTCACCTGTAATCACGATGTCCAGAGGGTCACTGGGAGCTGACAACTGATAGGGGGAATGAGGAACAGAACCGTAGCATCTGTAGGTCCCTGCAAGGTCTTGCGTCATGCGACCGATGGAGAAGTTGGCCTTGGAGACCCCATCATGGAGCTCTCCAGTGAGGCGCAAAGTGTCATTAAACTTCCCCTCTCTGTGCAGAAGGAAGTGCTCAAACATGACATCTGACCAACATTGCAGGATGACTGTCTCTTCTGATTTCACCAGGGGACCTGGGTGGGCCAGGAGGGAAGGTTTTCTGTGGACTCCTAGGAAGAGAGGTTGTGACTTTAGAAGGCATCTCTCTTTATCATCCCATCCATGGCACCTAGAATGAGTGAGGCTTCCCCTCGCTGGTGTCTTATCTCTCTCCTTCCTCTCTGTGTCTTCATGTTCTTTTCTGTGCCCATAACTCCTGGTACAGGTCCTTCCATCTGTCTCCCTCCCTCTTCTCTGTCCCTCTGTCTCTAGTAGCTCCTGATTCCCTTGCCGCTGGGCTCAGCCTCATCTCTTGGGCTGTTGTATCTATTTCGAACTAATGTCTTTCCTGCTTCTATGTGGGGGTGGAAGAGGAACCAGGATAGGCTGCACGTCCAGGCTCTTAGCAGACTGGTTCAATCTCTTTTGGACGAATTGGAATCCTTGGCAGAAGGTATGAACTGATCAGTAAGGCAGGCACCAGTGTCCACACACCCTGTTCCTGGTGGGGACTGGGAGCCACTCTTGCCATGCCTGTGCCTTCTCCATGGTGCCAGCTTCCATAGGCTGGCTTCTGGTGCTGGTTTGAGGAGTATCAACCCCTCCCTATGTGGATGGAGCCTGGTGGTGGCATCATCATCCCACCCTTGCTGATCTCGGTGTAGCCAACCTTCTCTTTGTTTGGTTTCTTTAATTAATTAATTAATTTTGGAGTCAGAGTCTCACTCCTTCACCCAGGCTGGAGTGAAGTGGTGTGGTCTAGGCTCACTGCAACCTCTGTCTCCTGGGTTCAAGTGATTCTCCTGCCCTCAGCCTCCTGAGTTGCTAGGATTACATGCACCTGCCACCACGCCCGGCTATCCTTGTGTCCTTTCTTATCTTGTCCTTGACCTGGGTTCCAGTGTTGGTTTCCTGTTGGTGCTGTGGAAAATTATCAGAAGCATGGCAGCAGGAGAGAGCACACTGACCCCTTCCGTTTCTGGAGACAGAAATCGGACCCTGTTTTTTGAGGGCTAAAATCAAGGCATCTGCAGGGCTGCGTTCCCTCTGGAGACCCAGGAGAATCAGTTCCTTGACTTTTCCAGCCTCTATAGGCCACCTGCATTCATGGCTCATGGCCTTCCTCCACCTTCAAAGCTGATGGAGACTTCCATTGCACTGCTCTAATCACCACTCCCCTCTTCCTTCTCCTCTCATGTGCACCCTTGTGATTACACTGAGCCCAGCAGGACAGTCCAGGCTGTCTCCCCATCTCAAGGTCAACTCAACAACCTGAGCTCCATCTTCCCCTTCAGTGCCTTCCCCTATAACATAAATAGTCACAGACTGCAGGGATTAGAATGCAGTCATCATTGGGGACAATTATTCTTTCCACCACAGCACCCATTTCCCTGTATTCAATCCCCTTTTACCCCAAATACAGTTAGGGTCTGGATGATGGGACGCTGGTGGACACTCCCACCAGAAGCTCTGGGACTCAGGAGGTGGGACAAGGAGAATCCCAGACAGGAGCCCTCTGACCTGTGACCATGATCACCAGGGGGTTGCTGGGTGCTGACCACCCAGTGAGGAAGTGTGGGTGTGAACCCCGACATCTGTAGGTCCCTGCATGTGCTGGGGTCACAGGGCCTATGAAAACGGTGTTTCGGAATACTCTGTTGTAGAGCTCAGGGACAGGCATCCCGTCTTCTTTGGACAGACTGAATTCGTTAAACCCAAGACGAGAGCGACACTGAAGAGCCACATGTTCTCCTTCAGACACCACAGGGCTGGGCCAGGCAGAGAGGAAGGGCTTGTCCTGACCACCTGGGGGAGAAGGAGGCGCCACCTTAGAGAGGAGGATGTGGCACTCCCTCCCTCTATTCCTTTCCAGGACTCACCAACACACGCCATGCTGACGACCATGAGCGACATGGTGCTGCCGGTGCAGACAGGCGGCCGCGCCCCAGCTCAGCTCAGCAGCGCACAGGATGTTATTTGGCGCCCTGCCCATGCAGCTTACATGTTGACTACATCATGGGAGGGTGACGTACGCAGGCTCTTTCTACCTTGCATGAGGCCCAGTGGATGCTTGCTCAAGAGCGGAACACGGCTTCCTGGAAATTGTTCTCACTAGAATTGGCACCTCACGTCCTTCACTATGACCAACTCACAACACGTCTCAGATCCAACCTCCCGAACACAAGATGCCTAAAATCTGTGCTAACGTGAAAGACTTTTCATGTATTTTTATCCGAACACGAGATGCCTAAAATCTGTGCTAACATGAAAGACTTTTCATGTATTTTTTTTGTTTTTATCTGAGATTCAAACTCTTCTTCCTGTGTAATATGCAAAGTATCTAATAGGTATTATTAATGTTTTCGGAGTCATTGTGACTAATAAACCATTAGAATTTTTCATGCTTGTATTTCTAGTATTACAGCAGAACCAGCTAAAATGATTTAAATTCCCAGGGAAGGATTATGCAATTATTTACAATCTTAGAATTGTACTTTATCAGCAAAAACCACACCTGTAAATTCTGGAGTTTTGTAGTTTAATCTAAAATTTGTCTCATGACCCAAGATTCCAGAGTCCCAACTCTGGAGTTTGCTCTCTGTCTGTCTCTCTCCCTCCCTCGTTTTAAATTTTACAGAAATATCCAGTAACATAATGCTATAGAAAATCAAGTTTTCCCCAGCACGTTGGGAAGCCGAGGTGGGCGGATCAACTGAGATAAGGAGTTTGAGAGCAGCCTGGCCAATATAGTGAAACCGTGTCTCTGTTAAAAATCCAAAAATTAGCCGTGCCTGGTGGCAGGCACCTGTAACGCCAGCTACTCAAGAGGCTGAGGCACGAGAATCGCTTGAACCTGGGAGGCGGAGGTTGCAGTGAGCTGAGATTGTGCCACTGCAGTCCAGCCTGGGCGACAGAGCAAGACTCCGCCTCAAGAAAAAAAAAGCAAACAGCCTATAATAACAAATTAGAGGGCTCTGGCTACTAAATTTAAAGGGTTCTATAAGGCTACATAAAGTGCAGCATCATCAAGAGTGTGGACACAGAGAGCCCCTTAGCAGAAACAGTGTCTAAAATACATCCATGTACACACAGTCCCTTTAGAGTTGACAAAGGCTGCCATGTGGTTTAAGGTGGCATAGAATGTCTTCTCAATAAATAATATTAAACCAATTGGTTACACCTAGGAAAAAATAAATCTAACTCACACTATAAAAACACTTCTTAGTTTTTATCTAGTTGTACATTTTTTATGATTTATATTTAAATTTGAGAAATAAAAGTCATATACGGTCATCCTTCACTATTCGTGGGTGATTGGTTTTGAGATCTCCACTCAGATACCAAAATCTGTAGATGCTCAAGCCTCTTATATGAAATGGCACAGCGTTTGCAAATAACCTATGCACATCCTCCTGTATACATGAAATCATCTCTAGATTACTTATAATTCCTGATACAGCCTACACACAGCTTCATTTGTGTCCATTCAACATAGTTATGCTTTTTGAAACTCTGTGGATACTTTCTCTCAATATTTTTGATTTATACTTGGTTCAATAAACACCTGTAAACCCCGCAGATATGGAGGAGTGACCGTATATTTATATTATGAAAGATGATGTGTTGATATGTGTCCCCATGGAGATGAGACTAACAAGGCCTATGATTCTACAAATGTTTCATTGTGGAATGACTCTGCCAGCTTTCCAGGTCTGCAGAGAGTAAGAGTATCACTTGTTCATATGATTCGTGATCCTTGGAACCTCCTATGTGCTACATCTTTGGATGGAAATTGGAGTCCCAGAGACAAATGAGGCTCCACCCTGCTTCCAGAAACTCAGAGTCCGGGGATGAGAACTCAGTGGGGAACAGATGGGATTATATGGACATGGTACTGATAACACCGGAAGCCTTAGGCAAGAAAAGAGTCCCATTACCGAAACCATGGGGGCAGACATGTTTATTTGAAGGATGGAAAACTACATTGAAGTTATTTTAAAAAATATATAAGTTTTACTGCTGACAGAAGACTGAAAGCTAGTCTGAGGGGAGGTGGAACAGCATGAGGGAAGGTGGAACAACACGTGTCTAAGTGCTGCGTTAAGAGGGAGCCTCTTGTATGTTTGGAATTGTGAGTTCCTCAGTGTGATTGCAGCCTCAAGTAGACTAGGAAGTAAGCCAGTTAGGTTGGAGAGGTGGGCAGGGGTCAAGTGAAATGGAGAACTGTGGGCTAAGCAAAGGAGTGTGTTTTTTCTCCAGCAGGCAGTGGGGACCTTAGACATTTGTAAGCAAGTGAGAGGCACATTCAGATTTGTGGTGTGAGGAAGAGCGATGCCCTAAGATGCAGACTCATGCCTTCAGATTCCAGCTGCTGGTACATGGGAGCTGGCAACCCGGTTTTGAGACAGGGCTGTTGTCTCCCTAGAAGACGCCCTCAAGGCCTGACTGTGGTGCTCATGGGCAGGAGACAACTTTGGATCTGGACTCAGCATTTGGAAGTTCCGTGTACACGATGATATCTGTTGGGGGTGTCTTGGGCCTCTGAGAAGGGCGAGTGATTTTTCTCTGTGTGAAAACGCAGTGATTCAACTGTGTGTATGTCACCTCCTGAGGGTCTTGTTCATCAGAGTCCTGGAGAGAGGGAAATGCTGAGTGAGGGAGGGTGCTCACATTTTCCAGGACTCTTTGGGAATAACAGTAGCCACGAGCCCGGGCCGAGGAGTACCTACCTCGCTATTCGCTGTTCTGTTTCCTGCAGACTCTTGGTCCATTACCGCAGCATCTGTAGAAGACGGAAGTCAACAAAACAGCTCGGAGGGCACTTCTGGGTCCTCATTTCATAAGCAGATACCAACATACAGGGGGAGACCATAGGTGGCTGAGGTCCCTCAGTTGCCAACAGCAGACTCAGACATTCTATCTCTCTGAGCTCAAGGACCCATCCCATGAATAGCTCTGAGTTCCCATCCCATTGATTCTGTCTCCCACTTTCTGCCTGTCATGGAACCTTCTCCTGGATGTGAGTGGCTGCAGGGGACATGAGGATACAGTTCAGAATCAGGCAACGGTCTGTGAGTTGAAGGCAGGGACAGGGAGTCTGGTGCCCTCTCTAGAAAGTCCTGCCTCTGTGGCTGCTGCCTTGGGCCAGGGACCATCCTACCTGTGAGGAACACACACCTGAGTGCTCCCATCCTGCTTCCCCACATGGCCCTGAGCTCTCTGGCCTCTGCTTCGTGAGACTTACTTTTTTTGTTGGAGCACCAGCGATGAAGGAGAAAGAAGAGGAGGATGAAGAGGATGATGACCACTGAGGTCCCAATCAGAATGTGCAGGTGTCGGGGGTTACCTGGAAGAAGATGAGACACCAATAAGAAGCTAATCTTAGCAGTTCCTCTTTATGAATTGTCTCGCATTTCTTGATTGACAGGTAACCACATAAAACACCTCTTTAGGACAAGCACCCAGATGGCAGGAGACCCAGCTTTCTCCTGCTTTTTCAGTTATAGCTCTCATAGTAACCATAGAACGTGCTGAGGATACGACTACTTTAGTTGAGATGTTTGACCCCTTCAAACCTCACATTGAAATTTCACCCCCACTGTGGGAGGTTGGGCCTCTTGAGAGGTGTTTGGGTCATGGAGGTGGATCCATCATGAACACATCAATGCTGTCCCAAGGAGACGGGGTTAGCAAGTTCCCCCTCTATTAGTTCCCGGAGAGCTGGTTGTTAAAAAGAGCTTGGAAGCTCCATCACTCCCCCTCCCCCTTGCTCCCTCTCTTGCCGTGTGATCTCTGTGGTCTCTGCACAGACAGACCCTCCTTCCCTTCTGCCAGAGTGGGAGCAGCCTGAGGCCGTCACGAGAAATAGATGCTGGTGCCATGCTTCCAGTACAGCCTGCAGAACGGTGAGGCAAACCAATCTCTTTTCTTTAGAAGTTACCGAGGCTCAAGTGTTCCTTTAGAGCAACAAAAATGGCCTAAGACAGCAACTTCCTGAGATCAGGAGGAACGTCTCAGAACACCCTGGGCTGTCTTCCTGTTCTTCCTGGAGGACGTCATGCAGTGCTTTAGCTGAGTGCTTCCTGTGGCTCCAGGGTACAAAACCCAGGCTGGGCTGCTTTCTGGCTTCCCGCAGCTACACTGCAAATGGGGTGACTCCATATGTCCCGAGGAGCTTTTCTGAGCCTTGAGGGACTGGGTCACATTGAAATATAGGTTTCTGTTGTCACTCGCTGCTTATCTGTTAGTAATGAACCTGCCTATGTAACGTATTCTCTGTGTGTTCTGTCTCCCTGGAGTGACGGTGAGTGATAGGAATTGGCATAGGCCCAGGTGCAGTCCAGGAGGTGTTTAGAGTCTTCTCTGGGAAGACTGGACTGGGATTGATTCACAGCGAATGTGCTTTAGGGTTTCTACATCCACAGCATTCTTGAATCAAACAACTTGCATTCTCCAAGGAAAGAAAACAAAAGTGAAATCAAGATAAAAAAAGCGAAATAGAATTCTCTTATGTCAAACGGCCAGGAAATAGTGTTGAAGCCCGTGTGAAACCTGCTGCTCTTTGTGATCTCGGGAGACACATATTAGGCTGCTGTTCTACCCGAGAGGCTGGGGGAAGGACCACCCCCTCGGCCATCTATTGCTTCAAAACCACCTGTCCTCCTGTGAATTAGTAGGAAAGGGGAGCAGGAGCTAGTGCTGTCGCTGATCTCTGATTCCAAGATCTGGACTCACTCCAAGGAGTGTTAATGTTTACCTCCCCATGGTCTATCTGAATCTCCACAGGTGATTGGAAGTAGGGGTGAGGTGGGGGATTTGGGTGAGTGGGCAAGTTTTTTTTGTGATGACCAGAGCACTTTCTCTATTCCAGGATCTGTGCTGGAGGATTCAGCGGGCTTTCACATTTTCTATATGATCTCATGCTCACAGAAAGCCAAATAGGGAAGAGGTTTTAGGCTCATTGCCTAATGGATAAGATAAAGGATCAAAGAAGTAATTATAGAGAAATAGAAAAATCATGATTGGAATTCAGGTGCCTTTGTCATTCGTGTGTGTTTTATTATATTTATGTATTTCTTATTTTTATTTTTTGAGATAGAGTCTCCTTGTGTCCCCCAGGCTGGAGTGCAGTGATGCAATCTCCACTCACTGCAACCTCCACCTACTGGGTTGAAGTCATTCTCCTGCTTCATCCTCCAGAATAGGAGCTGGGATTACAGGGATGCACCATCGTGCTCGGCTAATTTTTGTATTTTTAGTAGAGATAGGGTTTCACCACGTTGGCCAGGCTGGTCTGGAACTCCTGACTTCATGGAATCCACCCACCTTGGCCTCCTGCAGTGCTAGGTTACAGGCGTGAGCCACTGTTCACAGACTTGTATATTATGCTATAATAAGTCTCTTCATTTCCACCACCACTCATATATCTGTCACTCCTTTGCCAGGTATTGATTTATGTGTAGGATGAATAAATCTCAGAAAGAAATTAATTAAGCGAGGATTAAACAAGTAGGAAAATCAAACCCAGTAAGCCTTTCCAGTCAATGATTCTACCTCACAAACATATCTTATATCCATCTACTTCATTCATTTAGTGTCTAAATCAGCACCACATTTCACCAGTGGGGCGGCAATTGCCTTTTCCACGGTCTCCTAGATTCCAGTTATGCACCTGGGCCTCCCTTATTTTCATGTCAGTCATATTAATCATGTAGGGATTCCTGGTTACCCCGAGGTGAATCCAATGGCTGTGAGTGTCAAACACACACTCCTTGTTCCTCCTTAGTTTCCTGTGTACCCAGTGTGCTCTCCGTCTCTCTACAGTCGTCTTGTCATTCTCCCCACCTCATTCCCAGCATTTGAGTCAGAGCCTCTTCCTTCCACATCAGATTGTTTTCACCTTTGTGCCTTCATGGCTGACAGCTGTGTGTGCAAAATCCTTCCGCCAATCTTTCAGGGGTTCATTCCGTGTTTTTCATTAATGTCACAAATATCTGAATAGTGAGACCTTCTTTGTCACCTGAAATCATACACTCAGCATTATCTATTATTGATTTTGAATTCTGGCTGGGCACAGTGGCTCACGCCTGTAGTCCCATTACTTTGGCATGCTGAGACGGTCGGATCACTTGAGGTTGGGAGTTTCAGACAAGCTTGGCCAACGTGGTGAAACATCCTCTCTACAAAAAATATACAAAAAGAATTAGCCGGGCACGGTGGCAGTTGCCTGTAATCCCAGCTACTCGAGAGGCGGAGGCAGGAGAATCCCTTGAATCCAGGAGACGCAGGTTGCAGTGAGCCAAGATCGTGACACTGCACTGTAGCCTGGAAGACAGAGGGCGACTCTGTCTCAATAAACAAAAGAACAAACAAAAAATAGATTTCATGCACAGATGCTTCCCAATGGACCATTCATTTATAGATCCACTTGTGCGTTCATTTTCTGCCCTCCCATTTAACCATCTGCAATATCAGTGTCCCAAGGGCAGAGGCCAAATGCATCTTGTTCACTGTTTGTGGAAGGCAGGAGAATGCTGTCCCACCCCAAAATGTCCCTGTCCTAGCCTCCACAGCTTGTGAATATGTTATTTTACATGGAAAGGAGGAATGAAGATTGCAGATGGAATTATGGTTGCTAATCAGCTGAACTTAAAACAAGGGTATCCTGGATGATTTCCAGGAGATTATGAGGGATTTTCATCTTGGTGAACCCAATAGAATCCCCAAGTTTTCAAAAGATGAGGAAGAAGGGAGAGCAGCACTCAGAGAAAGAGGTGTGGTAAGGAAGAAGGCACTGAGTGATGCCATGTGAGATGTGACCAGTCTTTGTGGGCTTTGAGGAAGGAGGAAGGGGACCAGGAGCCAAGGAACTGGGAGCCTTTAGAAGCTGGGACAAGTGAGAAGCAGATTCGTGCCTGGAATCCTCAGAGGGAAGGCAGCCTTGCTGTCACCTTGATTTTAGCCCAGTAAGATGCACTTCCTACTTTGAGCTACAGCACTGTAAGATAATTAAAAAACCGTTTTGTTTTCACCCACGAATCTTGTGGAAATTTGTTATGGCAACAATAGGAAAAGGTTCCACACTGCACAGCCTGAGCATGGGGCCGTGGCTGAATGAGTCAGTGAGTCGAAATGTGCGTGCATGAGCTCTGTTCTCTGTTACGGCAAGGCTCTTTCTCTGCGGAGTCAGCCAGGGTTGCTTCATGACCTACAGGAGCTCATTCCTTGGCAAGTGGAACTTCTCTAAAACACCTTGCCCTCATCAGATGTTCCCTTCCCTTCCCTCTCTCAAGTCTCCAGGAATTTATCCTCCAGTTAGGAATGCAGGTAGAACAAACATTGCATTTTTCCTGAGAAGGATGTCAGATTGGCAATCATTCTTCTAGCTTGTAGGAGGTCTCAGCTCCATAAAATGAGAGATGAAGAGATTTCACTGAGCCCTGTGTTGGGCCCAGATCCCTTTCGCTGTAGGAGTATCTGGAGTTCGGAGATGGTGGAAGACAAGTGTACAATGTCAGAGCTGTGAGATGCTGAGTCAACGCCTGAATCCAAGGTTCCCACCTCCCCAGGGTTCCAAAAGCGGATATAAGAGGGTTCTGTACTCACCGGTTTTGGAGCTTGGTTCAGTGGGTGAAGGCCAACTATTTGAAGGGTTTCCTAGAACATGAGACAGGAGAGAGGTGAGGAAATGAGGGTGTCTGTCCTCCACTCAGTGGAAATCTTTGAGGATGGTTCATGGCCAACACTCTCTTATCTAATATTGGGCCCTGGGAGTCCTGGGATCCTTTTTTCCATAATTTTTTTATATGACACCCACTGTCTTGAGACTTCAAGATATAAAGAGAAAACAGGAGCATCACACTACCTGATCTCAAAATATGTTACAGAGCTGTAGTAAGCAAAATAGCATGACATTGGCGTAAAGAAAGGCACATAGAACAACGGAGCAGAATGAATAACACAGATATATTCCATGCATTTACATCCAATGGTTTTTTATTTTTTCTTTTGAGATGGAGTCTTGCTCTGTCACTCAGGCTGGAGTGCAGAGGTGCAATCTCGGTTCACTGCAACCTCAGCCTCCTGGGTTCAATCATTCTCTTGCCTCAAATTCCTGAGTAGTGGTATTACAGGTGCTGACCACCATGCTCAGCTAATTTTTATATTTTTAGTGGAGACGATGTTTCATCACGTTGGCCAGACTAATCTTGAACTCCTGGCCTCAGGTGATCCACCCACCTCGGGCTCCCAAAGTGCTGAAATTGCAGGTGTTAGCCACCAAGCCCAGCCCATCCAATGGACTTTGACAAAGATGCCAAGAACTCACAATCAGGAAAGGACAGTCTTTTCAATAAACAGTGCAGGGAAACCTGGACATCTACATGCAGAGGAATGAAACTGCAACTCTACCTGTCACCATACACAAAAATCAAATGAAAATGGATTAAAGATGTGAGTCTAAGGCCTGAACCTATGAAACACGTAGAACAAAATATTGGGGAAATGCTCCAGGACGTTTGTCTGAAGGAAGACATTTTGTTTTAAACCTTCAAAACACAAGTAATCGAAGCAAAAATAGACCATTGGGATTACCTCAAACTAAGCAACTTCAGCACTGCTAAAAATAAACCAACAAAGTGAAGAGACAACCCACAGATTGGGAGCAAATATGTGCAAACTATGCATCTGAGATGGGATTAATAACTAGAAATATAAGAAGCTCAAACAACTCAATAAAACAAATGATTTAATTGAAAAAGGAGCAAAAGACATGAAATTTCCCCACATACGAAAAAGTGCTCAGTATCACTCATCATCAGAGAAACGCAAATTAAAATCAAAGTGAGTTTTCATCTCACCCCATTAAAATGGCTTTTAGGCCGGGTGAGGTGGCTCACTTGTGTCATCCTAGAACTTTGAGAACCTGAGGTGGGTGAATCTCATAAGGTTGGGAGTTTGAGACCAGTCTGACCCACATAGAGAAACGCTGTCTCTACTAAAAATACAAAAATTAGTAGGGCGTGGTGGCGTGTGCCTGTAATTCCAGCTACTCGGGAGGCTGAGGCAGGAGAATCGCTTGAACCTGGGAGGTGGAGGTTGTGGTGAGCCGAGATAGCGCCACTGCACTCCAGCCTGGGTGAGAAGAGCAAAACTCCATCTCAAAATAAAATGAAATAAAATAAAATGGCTTTTAGCTGCAAGACAGGCAAAAGAAATGCTGGCAAGGTGGTAGAGAAAGGAGAACCCTGGTACCCTGTTGGGAGGAGTGTAAATTAGTACAGCCATTACGGAGAAAAGTATGGAAGTCCTTTAAAGAACTAAAAAGAGGTTGGGTGAGGTGGATCATGCCTGTAATCCCGGCACTTTGGGAGACTGAGGCGGGCACCTCAGTTGAGGTCATGAGTTTGAGAGCAGCCCAGCCAACATGGGGAAACCCCATCTATACTAAAAAAACCAAAAAGTAGCCAGGCATGGTGGTGTGCACCTGTAATCCCAGCTACTAGGGAGGCTGAGGCAGGAAAATCATTTGAACCCAGGAGGCGGAGGTTGCAATGAGCCAAGGTTGCACCACTTTGACTCCAGCTTGGGCTAAGGAGGGAAACTCTTTCTCAAAAAAGAAAAAAAGAAAAAAAGAGAACTTTCATAGTATCCAGCAATTTCACTACTGGGTTTATATCCAAAGGAAAGTAAATCAACATATCGAAGTGATATCTGCACTCGTATGATTGGTGCAGCACTGTTCACAGTAGCCAAGATGAGGAGTCAACCTACCTGCCCATCAGTGGGTGAATGGATAGAGAGAATGTAGTACATACGCACAGTGGAGACTACTCATCCATAGAAAGAATAACATCCTGTCATTTGCAGCCACATGGATGGAACTGGAGGTCATTAAAAAGATTCCCATTTCTCACCCATATACAGGAGCTAAAAGGTGGATCTCATGAAGGTAGAGAGTAGAATGGTGGCTACTGGAGGACAGGAAGAAAAGGGTGGAGGGTAAAAAAAATGTATATATATATATATATAAAAATGTATTTATGACCACTAGACTTTACACTTAAAAATGGTAAATGTGGCTGGGCCTGGTGGCCCATGCCTGTAATCCCAGCACTTTGGGAGGCTGATGCGGGTGGATCACGTGGTCAGGAGTTCGAGACCAGCTCGACCAACATGGTGAAACCACCTCTCTACTAAAAATACAAAAAGTAGCCTGGCGTGGTGGTGCGTGCCTGTAGCACTAGCTACTCAGGTGGCTGAGGCAGGAGAATCGCTTGAACCCATGAGGCGGAGGTTGCAGTGAGCTGAGATTGTGCCACTGCACTCCATCATAGGGGACAGAGCTAGACTCCACCTCAAAAAAAAATGTTAAAAGTGGTAAGCTATATAGGTATATTTATCCTCAATAAATATTTCTTCAAAGAAAAGTAAAGGGTGTAGGGGTTGCTGGTGATGACATCTCTGTGTGGGTGAGAGGCCAGGATGGGCTTCTGGGAAATGGGTAAGGTTGAGGGGCTGAGGGAACCTCTGATCTCCCCAAACTGAGCCCAGTCTCCCTCCTCTGGGTCTCTCCTGACCGCTTTCTCCATCTGCCTGGGTGCCTGGAGCCCTGGCCGTGGGCCTCCATGCAGGCCATGTAGGAGGGTTTGGAGGTGCCCTGTCGGCCATCCTGTGCCCTGATCCCTCCCTCACACCGAGGCTGCGTCTTCTCTCTGCATCTGTCCATGCTTCTCTCCATCCTCAGCAGGAAGCTCCTCAGCTAAGGCTCTAGGATCATAGGACATGGGACAGCCATGGGCTTTCCTCACCTGTGACAGAAACAAGCAGTGGGTCACTTGACTTTGACCACTCGTATGGAGAGTCATGGAAAGAGCCGAAGCATCTGTAGGTCCCTCCGTGGGTGGCAGGGCCCAGAGGAAAGTCAGCCTGGAATGTTCCGTTGACCTTGGGCCCTGCAGGGAGCCTACGTTCATGGGCCTCCCCTTCCCTGGATAGATGGTACATGTCATAGGAGCTCCGGGAGCTGCAGGACAAGGTCACATTCTCTCCTGCCAGAACCGTGGGGCCCGGCTGGGCTGAGAGAGAAGGTTTCTCATATAGACCTGGAAGGAGAAGAGGCAGTTTCCTCAGGGAGGATCTTCTTTGTCACAGCTCCCTTCACCTGAGCTGAGAACTCACTCCCCTGTTCTATGACCTAATGCTCTCTCTCTCTCTCTCTCACCCTCTACCCCATCGCTCTTCATGTCTATTTCCTCCTTCCACCTTCTCTGTCTCTCTAGGTCTCTGACCTCACTTCCCCACCTCTAGATATGTTTTCTCTTTTTGGATTGTTTTATTCTCTCTGACTCTCCTTGGATTGGTTGACTTGATGTTACTTTTTTTAATTCTGAGTTTCTCACTTTGTGTCCTGTTCATAACTTTCTGCATATTTCTATCTATTATCTATCGATCTATCTATTTATCTATTCGGTGCCTATCTACAAATTCTCTACCTGTCATCTATATCTATATATCATCTATTTATCCATCAATTGTCTATCTATCCATCAATCATCTATTATCTATATCTATGTATCATCTCTCTCTCTCTATGATTTCTCTATGTCTGCCTCTGTATCTCTATGTATTATCTATCTATCTGTCTTCATCATCATCATCTCTATGTCTCATCTATTAATGAATCAATCAATCATCATCTATGTATCTATAACCTATTATCTATCATCTACCTATTTATCATCTATCTATATCTATCCATCTATCATCTGTCTTGCTCTGCCTCTCGGTCTCTCTAGTTCTCTTTGGAATCTCTGCAATTCATCCCCACATCTCCATCTTTCAATGTCCTTGTGCCTCTCCCTCAGGAGTCTAATTTTAGTGCTTTTCTCTGCTCCCTTCCATCATTCTCACTTCTCTGCCCTCTTTTCTCTCTCTTTATGTGTCTGTGAGTCTCTCAATCTCCTTCCTCTGGCTCATTCTCTGTGTGTTTATGTCTTTGCTTTTTGGTGTCCCTGATTTCTCTCTGTGCCTCTCACTGATCCTCTCATAAGTGGGCTTATTTGGAATATGAGCCTCAGAATCCAGTCTGGAGACTACAAGTTCACACAGCATACAGGGGTTGGTGTTGTGGGGCCATGATATCCTGGGACGATTACTCTCCATTACATGGAAGGCAGAGGTGTCAGAATAAACATGGCATCTGTAGGTGCCACAAGGCCTGAGGCCACAGGGCCCAACTCAGGTCAGAAATATGGGTGTCCTTGGGTTCTCCTGGTAGAGAACACTTTGTGGAGGTAAAACAGAAATGAAACTTCTAACCTGTGCCAGGTCTCTGAGCAAAGTCAGCATGGAGGGACACCTCTCTCTGGGACATGTCTGTCTGTGTGTCTCCTTTAACTCTTTCTGTCTTTTCTAACTCCCGGTATGGCCCCTGTGTCTGTTCTCTGTTATGACACCTGGTCTCTACTTGTGTCTCCTGTTTCTCTGTCTCTGTTGGCACAGACCTCACCAAGTCAGTCTCTCTCCATAAGAATACCAAGCTCATCTTCCTTACAGCCACCTGGGTCTCCAATTCCTGGATCATTCACTCTGCATCCCAATGACAATGAGAAGAAAGTCTGGACACTCTCACCTATGATCACGATGTCCAGAGGGTCACTGGGAGCTGACACCTGATAGGGGGAGTGAGTAACAGAACCGTAGCATCTGTAGGTCCCTGCCAGGTCTTGCGTCATGCGACTGATGGAGAAGTTGGCCTTGGAGACCCCATCATGGTGTTCTCCAATGAGGCGCAAAGTGTCGTTAAACATCCCCTCTCTGTGCAGAAGGAAGTGTTCAAACATGACATCTGACCAACATTGCAGGATGACTGTCTCTTCTGATTTCACCAGGCGACCTGGGTGGGCCAGGAGGGAAGGTTTTCTGTGGACTCCTAGGAAGAGAGGTTGTGAGTTTAGAAGGTGTCTCTCTTTATCATCCCATCCATGGCACCTGGATTGAGTCAGGCTTCCCCTTCCTGGTGTCTTATCTCTCTCCTTCCTCTCTGTGTCTTCATGTTCTTTTCTGTGCCCATAACTCCTGGTGCAGGTCCTTCCATCTGTCTCCCTCACTCTTCTCTGTCCCTCTGTCTCTAGTAGCCTCTGATTCCCTTGCCGCTGGGCTCAGCCTCATCTCTTGGGCTGTTGTATCTATTTCGAACTAATGTCTTTCCTGCTGTCTATGTGGGGGTGGAAGAGGAACCAGGATAGGCTGCACATCCAGGCTCTTAGCAGCCTGGTTCAATCTCTTTTGGACGAATTGGAATCCTTGGCAGGAGGTATGAACTGATCAGTAAGGCAGGCACCAGTGGCCACACACCCTGTTCCTGGTAGGGACTGGGAGCCACTCTTGCCATGCCAGTGCCAGCTTCCATAGGCTGGCTCCTGGTGCTGGTTGGAGGAGTATCAACCGCTCCCTATGTGGATGGAGCCTGGTGGTGGCATCATCATCTGAGCCTTGCTGATCTCAGTGTAGCCAACCTTCTCCTTGTTTGGTTTCTTTAATTAATTAATTAATTTTGGCGACAGAGTCTCACTCCTTTGCCCAGGCTGGAGTGAAGTGGTGTGGTCTAGGCTCACTGCAACCTCTGTCTCCTGGGTTCAAGTGATTCTCCTGCCCTCAGCCTCCCAAGTCGCTAGGATTACATGCACCTGCCACCATGCCTGGCTATCCTTGTGTTGTTTCTTAACTTGTCCTTGACCTGGGTTCCAGTGTTGGTTTCCTGTTGCTGCTGTAGAAAATTATCAGAAGCATGGCACCAGGAGAGAGCACACTAACCCCTTCCAATTCTGGAGACAGAAATCGGACCCTGTTTGTCGTGGGTAAAATCAAGGCACCTGCAGGGCTTCGTTCCCTCTGGAGACTCAGGAGAATCAGTTCCTTGACTTTTCCAGCCTCTATAGGCCACCTGCATTCATGGCTCCTGGACTTCCTCCACCTTCAAAGCTGATGGAGACTCCCATTATGCTGCTGTAATCCCCACTCCCCTCTTCCTCCTCCTTTCATGTGGACCCCTGTGACTACACTGAGCCCATCAGGACAGTCCAGGCTGTCTCCCCATCTCAAGGTCAACTCATCAACAACCTGAGCTCCATCTTCTCCTTCAGTCCCTTCCCCTATATCATAAATAGTCACAGACTCCAGGGATTAGAATGTAGTCATCACTGGGGACAATTATTCTTCCCACCACAGCACCCATTTCCCTGTATTCAATCCCCCTTTACCCCAAATACAGTCAGGACTTGCATGATGGGACCCGCAAGGACACGCCCACCAGGAGCTCTGGGATTCAGGAGGTGGGACAAGGAGAATCCCAGACAGGAGCCCTCTGACCTGTGACCGTGATCTCCAGGGGGTTGCTGGGTGCCGACCACCCACTGGGGTAGTGTGGTTGTGAACCCCGACATGTATAGGTCCCTGCGTGTGCTGGGGTCACAGGGCCCATGAAAAGGCTGTTCCAGAATATTATGTTGTAGAGCTCAGGGACAGGCACCCCATCTTCCTTTTACAGACTGAAGTTGTTAAACCCAAGATAAGAATGACACTGAAGAATCACATGTCCTGGAGGCACCACAGGGCTTGGCCAGGCAGACAGCAAGGGCTTGTCCTGACCACCTTGGGGAGAAGGAGGCACCGCCTTAGAGAGGAGGATGTGGAGCCGCCCCTCCCTCCCTGTGCTCTGAAGATTCTCCTCGCTTTCCAAGTTTCTATGGCTGCTATCACACCTTGGTGCCCAGGGCTAAAGGAAGGACCCATCCCGCAAACACAAGGTGTCTCCCTACAACAAAAGTGTCAGCTGAGAACTTTGAGCAAGTGCTGAGTAAGAGACTCCTACTAGATTTTAATACTGTAAGATTACTCACATAAAACAACACAGGGTAGACATGGGGTGGAGGGCATGTCCTTTGAGAATGGAATATCAGCCGATGCCTGAACGAAAATAAACAACTGAGTCCCCATCAGAGGATTGGAATGTCAGGGCCATGGCTGTGGTTTTCCCACCTCTTCTGGTAGAATGACAGCAGCCACACTGCAGCCCCTACCGTCATGGAAACACTGAAGTGTTTGAGTAACACCTTTGTCCTCAGAGGATCTGCTGTTCCTACCACTTCCCCACCACACACCCCAGCTTTGAGCACCGTAGTCTAACCCTGGTCCCCACAGAACTTGACTCTGCCAAGGGAATGAAAGGCCAGGGAGGCAAGGTCAGAAATGTGGGCCCAGCACCCCAGGGTCCCTTCTTCCTAGTTTATGAGAGACTCCCTGACAGGACTTCCCTCCCATTTCAGGAAAATCCTCTTATGTGGGGAGATGACACCCGAAGGTTTGGAGAAGGACTCACCCTCATGTGGCCAGGCCCCCTGCAGCAAGAAGAACCCTGGAAAGAAAGATCATGATGGATGACCCATCTGCAGGCAAACCAGGGCACCCTTGCTGCCCCCACTGGGCTGTGAGTCTTGGTAGCCAGGCCCTTCCTGGGCTGAAGGTAAACTCACCCTCAGTGCCTACCTGCACCCAAGAACAGGGCTGTCGGCTGTGCAGATACCCAGCCTCCAGGTCCATATCCCCACCTCAAGCCCATATCTCCACTCCAGGCCCATATCTCCACTCCAGGCCGATATTTCCACCCTAAGCCCATATCGCCAATCCAGGCCCATATCTCCAATCCAGGCTCAGATCTCCACCCTGGGCCCATATCTCCAATCCAGGCCCTTATCTCTACTCCAGGTCCATATCTCCTCTCCAGTCCCATATCTCCACTCCAGGCCCATATATCCTCTCCAGTCCCATATCTCCACACCCAGGCCCGTATCTCCATCCTAGGCACATATCTCCTCTCCAGGCCCAGATATCGACCTCTAGGCCCATATCTCCACTCCTGGCCCATATCTCCACTCCAGGCCCAGATATCGACCTCTAGGCCCATATCTCCACTCCTGGCCCATATCTCCACTCCAGGCCCATGTCTCCACTTCAGGCCCATATCTCTACTGCAGGCCCGTAACTCCACCTCCAGGCCCATGACTCCACTCCAGGCCCATATCTCCACCTCCAGGCCCATATCTCCCCTCCAGGTTCCTATCTCCCCTCCAGGTTCCTATCTCCACTCCAGGCCCAGATCTCCACTACAGTCCCATCACTCCACCTCCAGGCCTATATCTCGACCTCTGGGCCCAGATCTCCACTTCTAGGCCCATCACTCCATCTCTAGGCCCATATATCCACTCCAGGCCCAGATCTCCACTCCAGGCCCATAACTCCACCTCCAGGCCTATATCTCCACCTCTGGGCCCAGATCTCCATCCCCTCACTCCCTCCCTCTATTGCTTTCCAGGACTCACCAACACACGCCATGCTGACGACCAAGAGCGACATGGTGCTGCCGGAGCAGACAGGCAGCCGCGACCGAGCTCAGCTCAGCAGCGCACAGGATGTTATTTGGCGCCCTGCCCATGCAGTTTACATGTTGACCACATCATGGGAGGGTGACGTACGCAGGCTCTTTCTACCTTGCATGAGGCCCAGTGGGTGCTCGCTCAAGAGCGGAACACGGCTTCCTGGAAATTGTTCTCGCTAGAATTTGACACCTAGTGTCCTTCACTATGACCAACTCAAAACACGTCTGAGATCCAACCTCCCGAACACGAGATGCCTAAAATCTGTGCTAACATGAAAGACTTTTCATGTATTTCTATTGTTTTTATCTGAGATTCAAACTCTTCTTCCTGTGTAATATGCAAAATATCTAATAGGTATTATTAATGTTTTCAGAGTCATTGTCACTAATAAACCATTAGAATTTTTCATGCTTGTATTTCTAGTATTACAGCAGAACCAGTTAAAATGATTTAAATTCCCAGGGAAGGATTATGCAATTATTTACAATCTTAGAATTGTACTTTATCAGTAAAAACCCCACCTGTAAATTCTGGAGTTTTGTAGTTTAATCTAAAATTTGTCTCATGACCCAAGATTCCAGAGTCCCAACTCTGGAGTTTGTTTTCCGTCTGTCTCTCTCCCTCCCTCATTTTAAATTTTACAGAAATATCCAGTAACATAATGCTATAGAAAATCAAGTTTCCCCAGCACGTTGGGAAGCCGAGGTGGGCGGATCAACTGAGATAAGGAGTTTGAGAGCAGCCTGGCCAATATAGTGAAACCGTGTCTCTGCTAAAAATCCAAAAATTAGCCGTGCCTGGTGGCAGGCACCTGTAACGCCAGCTACTCAAGAGGCTGAGGCACGAGAATCGCTTGAACCTGGGAGGCAGAAGTTGCAGTGAGCTGAGATTGTGTCACTGCAGTCCAGCCTGGGCGACAGAGCAAGACTCCGCCTCAAGAAAAAAAAGCAAATAGCCTATAATAACAAATTAGAGAGCTCTGGCTACTAAATTTAAAGGGTTCTATAAGGCTACATAAAGTGCAGCATCATCAAGAGTGTGGACACAGAGAGCCCCTTAGCAGAAACAGTGTCTAAAGTACATCCGTGTACACACAGTCCCTTTAGAGTTGACAAAGGCTGCCGTGTGGTTTAAGGTGGCATAGAATGTCTTCTCAATAAATAATATTAAACCAATGGGTTATACCTAGGAAAAAATAAATCTAACTCACACTATAAAAACACTTCTTAGTTTTTATCTAGTTGTACATTTTTTATGATTTATATTTAAATTTGAGAAATAAAAGTCATATACGGTCATCCTTCACTATTCCTGGGTGATTGGTTTCGAGATCTCCACTCAGATACCAAAATCTGTAGATGCTCAAGCCTCTTATATGAAATGGCACAGAGTTTGCAAATAACCTATGCACATCCTCCTGTATACATGAAATCATCTCTAGATTACTTATAATTCCTGATGCAGCCTACACACAGCTTCATTTGTGTCCATTCAACACAGTTCTGCTTTTTGTAACTCTGTGGATAC
Source organism: Homo sapiens (assembly GCF_000001405.40). Classification (NCBI taxonomy): domain Eukaryota; kingdom Metazoa; phylum Chordata; class Mammalia; order Primates; family Hominidae; genus Homo; species Homo sapiens. The sequence continues at coordinate 90,697 of NT_187668.1, forward strand.
TTTCTCTGAATATTTTTGATTTATACTCGGTTCAATAAAGAACTGTAAACCCCACAGATATGGAGGAGTGACTGTATATTTATAGTGTGAAAGATGATGTGTTGATATGTGTCCCTGTGTAGATGAGACTAACAAGGCCTATGACTCTACAAATGTTTCATCTTGGAATGACTCTGCCAGATTTCCAGGTCTGCAGAGAGTAAGAATATCACTTGTTCATGTGATTCACGATCCTTGGAACCTCCTATGTGCTACATCTTTGGATGGAAATAGGAGTCCCAGAGACAAATGAGGCTCCACCCTGCTTCCAGAAACTCAGAGTCCGGGGGTGAGAACCCAGTGGAGAACAGATGGGGTTATGTGGACATGGTAATGATAACACTGGAAGTCTTAGGCAAGAAAAGAGTCCCATTACCGAAACCATGAGGGCAGACATGTTTATTTGAAGGAGGGAAAACTACATTGAAATTATTTTAAAAAATATATAAGTTTTACTGCTGACAGAAGGCTGAAAGATACTCTGAGGGGAGGTGGAACAGCATGAGGGAAGGTGGAACAGGACGTGTCTAAGTGCCGTGTTAAGAGGGAGCCTCTTGTATGTTTGGAACTGTGAGTTCCTCAGTGTGATTGCAGCCTCAAGTAGACTAGGAAGTAAGCCAGTAAGGTTGGAGAGGTGGGCAGGGGTCAAGTGAAATGGAGAATTGTGGGCTAAGCAAAGGAGTGTGTTTTCTCTCCAGCAGGCAGTGGGGACCTTAGACATTTGTAAGCAAGAGAGAGGCACGTTCAGATTTGTGGTGTGAGGAAGAGCGATGCCCTAAGATGCAGACTCACGCCTTCAGATTCCAGCTGCTGGTACATGGGAGCTGGCAACCCGGTTTTGAGACAGGGCTGTTGTCTCCCTAGAAGATCCCCTCAAGGCCTGACTGTGGTGCTCATGGGCAGGAGACAACTTTGGATCTGGACTCAGCATTTGGAAGTTCCGTGTACACTCTGGTATCTGTTGGGGGTGTCTTGGGCCTCTGAGAAGGGCGAGTGATTTTTCTCTGTGTGAAAACGCAGTGATCCAACTGTACGTATGTCACCTCCTGAGGGTCTTGTTCATCAGAGTCCTGGAGAGAGGGAAATCCTGAGTGAGGGAGGGTGCTCACGTTTTCCAGGACTGTTTGGGAATAACACTAGCCACGAGGCTGGGCCGAGGAGCACCTACCTCGCTATTCGCTGTTCTGTTCCCTGCAGGCTCTTGGTCCATTACAGCAGCATGTGTAGGAGACGGAAGTCAACAAAAGAGCTCGGAGGGCACTTCTGGGTCCTCATTTCATAAGCAGATACCAACAAACAGGGGGAGGCCATAGGTGCCTGAGGTCCCTCAGTTGCCAACAGCAGACTCAGACATTCTATCTCTCTGAGCTCAAGGACCCATCCCATGAATAGCTCTGAGTTCCCATCCCATTGATTCTGTCTCCCACTTTCTGCCTGTCATGGAACCTTCTCCTGGATGTGAGTGGCTGCAGGGGACATGAGGATACAGTTCAGAATCAGGCAACGGTCTGTGAGCTGAAAGCAGGGACAGGGAGTCTGGTGCCCTCTCTAGAAAGTCCTGCCTCTGTGGCTGCTGCCTTGGGCCAGGGACCATCCTACCTGTGAGGAACACACACCTGAGTGCTCCCATCCTGCTTCCCCACATGGCCCTGAGCTCTCTGGCCTCTCCTTCGTGAGACTTACTTTTCTTGTTGGAGCACCAGCGATGAAGGAGAAAGAAGACGAGGAGGATGAAGAGGATGATGACCACTGAGGTCCCAATCAGAACGTGCAGGTGTCTTGGGTTACCTGGAAGAAGATGAGACACCAATAAGAAGCTAATCATAGCAGTTCCTCTTTATGAATTGTCTCGCATTTCTTGATTGACAGGTAACCACGTAAAACACCTCTTTAGGACAAGCACCCAGATGGCGGGAGACCCAGCTTTCTCCTGCTTTCTCAGTTATAGCTCTCAAAGTAACCATAGAATGTGCTGAGGATACAACTACTTTAGTTGAGATGTTTGACCCCTTCAAACCTCACATTGAAATTTCACCCCCATTGTGGGAGGTTGGGCCTCTTGAGAGGTGTTTGGGTCATGGAGGTGGATCCATCATGAACAGATCAATGCTGTCCCAAGGAGACGGGGTTAGCAAGTTCCCCCTCTATTAGTTCCCAGAGAGCTGGTTGTTCAAAAGAACTTGGAAGCTCCATCGCTCCCCCTCCCCCTTGCTCCCTCTCTTGCCGTGTGATCTCTGTGGTCTCTGCACAGACAGACCCTCCTTCCCTTCTGCCAGAGTGGGAGCAGCCTGAGGCCATCACGAGAAATAGATGCTGGTGCCATGCTTCCAGTACAGCCTGCAGAACGGTGAGGCAAACCAATCTCTTTTCTTTAGAAGTTGCCCAGGCTCAAGTGTTCCTTTAGAGCAACAAAAATGGACTAAGACAGCAACGTCCTGAGATCAGGAGGAACGTCCCAGAGCAGCCTGGGCTGTCTTCCTGTTCTTCCTGGAGGAGGACGTCATGCAGTGCTTTAGCTGAGTGCTTCCTGTGGCTCCAGGGTACAAAACCCAGGCTGGGCTGCTTTCTGGCTTCCCCCAGCTACACTGCAAATGGGGTGACTCCATATGTCCCGAGCAGCTTTTCTGAGCCTTGAGGGACTGGCTCACATTGAAATGTAGGCTTCTGTTTTCACTTGCTGCTTATCTGTTAGTAATGAACCTGCCTATGTAACGTATTCTCTGTGTGTTCTGTCTCCCTGGAGTGACGGTGAGTGATAGGAATTGGCGTAGGCCCAGGTGCAGTCTAGGAGGTGTTTAGGGTCTTTTCTGGGAAGACTGCACTGGGATTGACACACAGCGAATGTGCTTTAGGATTTCTACATCCACAGCATTCTTGAGTCAAACAACTTGCGTTCTCCAAGGAAAGGAAACAAAAGTGAAATCAAGATAAAAAAGCGAAATAGAGTTATCTTATGTCCAACAGCCAGGAAATCGTGTTGAAGCCCCTGTGAAACGTCCTACTCTTTGTGATCTCGGGAGACACATGTTAGGCTGCTGTTCTACCTGAGAGGCTGGGGGAAGGACCACCCCCTCCACCATCTATTGCTTCAATACCACCTGTCCTCCTGTGAATTAGTAGGAAAGGGGAGCAGGAGCTAGTGCTGGTGCTGATCTCTCATTCCAAGATCTGGACTCACTCCAAGGAGTATTAATGTTTACCTCCCCATGGTCTATCTGAATCTCCACAGGTGATTGGAAGTAGGGGTGAAGTGGGGGATTTGAGTGAGAGGGCAAGTTTTTTTTTGTGATGAACAGAGCACTTTCTCTATTCCACGATCTGTGCTGGAGGATTCAGCGGGCTTTCACATTTTCTATATGGTCTCATGCTCACAGAAAGCCAAATACGGAAGAGGTTTTAGGCTCATTGCCTAATGGATAAGACAAAGGATCAAAGAAGTAATTATAGAGAAATACAAAAATGATGATTGGAATTCAGGTGCCTTTGTCATTCGTGTGTGTTTTATTATATTTATGCATTTCTTATTTTTATTTTTTGAGACGGAGTCTCCTTGTGTCACCCAGGCTGGAGTGCAGTGATGCAATCTCCACTCACTGCAACCTCCACCTCCTGGGTTGAAGTTTTTCTCCTGCTTCATCCTCAAGAGTAGGAGCTGGGATTACAGGGATGCACCACCATGCTCGGCTAATTTTTGTATTTTTCATAGAGACAGGGTTTCACCATTTTGGCCAGGCTGGTCTGGAACTCCTGACTTCAAGTGATCCACCCGCCTTGGCCTCCTGCAGTGCTGGGAATTGCCTTTTCCACGGCCTGAGCATGGGGCCGTGGCTGAATGAGTCAGTGAGTCGAAGTGTGCGTGCATGAGCTCCGTTCTCTGTTAAGGCAAAGCTCTTGCTCTGCTGAGTCAGCCAGGGTTGCTTCATGACCAACAGTAATTCATTCCTGGGCAAGTGGAACTTCTCTAAAACACCTCGCCCTCATCAAATGTTCCCTACCCTTCCCTCTCTCAAGCCCCCAGGAATTTATCCTCCAGTTAGGAATGCAGGCAGAACAAACATTGCATTTTTCCTGAGAAGGATGTCAGATTGCCAATCATTTTTCTAGCTTGTAGGAGATCTCAGCTCCATAAAATGAGAGATTAAGAGATTTCACTGAGCCCTGTTTTGGGTCCAGATCCCTTTCGCTGTTGGAGTATCTGGAGTTCGGAGATGGTAGAAGACAGGCGTACAATGTCAGAGCTGTGAGATGCTGAGTCAACGCCTGAATCCAAGGTTTCCACCTCCCCAGGTTTCCAAAAGCGGATATAAGAGGGTTCTGTACTCACCGGTTTTGGAGCTTGGTTCAGTGGGTGAAGGCCAACTATTTGAAGGGTTTCCTAGAACACGAGACAGGAGAGAGGTGAGGAAATGAGGGTGTCTGTCCTCTACTCAGTGGAAATCTTTGAGGTTGGTTCATGGCCAACACTCTGTTATCTAATATTGGGCCCTGGGAGTCCTGGGATCCCTTTTTCCGTAATTTTTGTATGTGACGGCTACTGTCTTGAGACTTCAAGGTATAAAGAGAAAACAGGAGCATCACACTACCTGATCTCAAAATATGTTACAGAGCTGTAGTAAGCAAGACAGCATGACGTTGGCATGAAGAAAGGCACATAGAACAACGGAGCAGAATGAATAACACAGATATAATCCATGCATTTACCTCCAATGTATTTTTTGTTTTTCTTTTGAGATGGAGTCTTGCTCTGTCACCCAGGCTGGAGTGCAGAGGTGCAATCTCGGTTCACTGCCACCACAGCCTCCTGGGTTCAATCACTTCTCTTGCCTCAAACTCCTGAGTAGTGGTATTACAGGTGCTGACCACCATGCTCAGCTAATTTTTATATTTTTAGTGGAGACGATGTTTCATCACGTTGGCCAGACTAATCTTGAACTCTTGGCCTCAGGTGATCCACCCACCTCGGGCTCCCAAAGTGCTGAAATTGCAGGTGTCAGCCACCATGCCCAGCCCATCCAATGGACTTTGACAAAGGTGCCAAGAACTCACAATCAGGAAAGGACAGTCTTTTCAATAAACAGTGCAGGGAAACCTGGACATCTACATGCAGAGGAATGAAACTGCACCTCTGCCTGTCACTATACACAAAAATCAAATGAAAATGGATTAAAGATGTGAGTCTAAGGCCTGAACCTATGAAACACGTAGAAGAAAATATTGGGGAAATGCTCCAGGACGTTTGTCTGAAGGAAGACATTTTGTTTTAAACCTTCAAAACACAAGTAATCGAAGCAAAAATAGACCATTGGGATTACCTCAAACTAAGCAACTTCTGCACCGCTAAAAATAAACCAACAAAGTGAAGAGACAACCCACAGATTGGGAGCAAATATGTGCAAACTATGCATCTGAGATGGGATTAATAACTAGAAATATAAGAAGCTCAAACAACTCAATAAAACAAATGATTTAATTGAAACAGGAGCAAAAGACATGAAATTTCCCCACATACGAAAAAGTGCTCAGTATCACTCATCATCAGAGAAACGCAAATTAAAATCAAAGTGAGTTTTCATCTCACCCCATTAAAATGGCTTTTAGGCCGGGCGTGGTGGCTCACGTCTGTCATCCTAGAACTTTGAGAGCCTGAGGTGGGTGAATCTCATAAGGTCGGGAGTTTGAGACCAGTCTGACCCACATGGAGAAACACTGTCTCTACTAAAAATACAAAAATTAGTCGGGCGTGGTGGCGTGTGCCTGTAATTCCAGCTACTCGGGAGGCTGAGGCAGGAGAATCGCTTGAACCTGGGAGGTGGAGGTTGTGGTGAGCCGAGATCGCACCACTGCACTCAGCCTGGGTGACAAGAGCGAAACTCCATCTCAAAATAAAATGAAATAAAATAAAATGGCTTTTAGCTGCAAGACAGGCAAAAGAAATGCTGGCAAAGTGTTAGAGAAAGGAGAATCCTGGTATCCTGTTGGTAGGAGTGTAAATTAGTACAGCCATTACGGAGAAAAGTGTGGAAGTCCTTTAAAGAACTAAAAAGAGGTTGGGTGAGGTGGATCATGCCTGTAATCCCGGCACTTTGGGAGACCGAGGCGGGCACCTCAGTTGAGGTCATGAGTTTGAGAGCAGCCCAGCCAACATGGGGAAACCGCATCTATACTAAAAAAAACAAAAAGTAGCCAGGCATGGTGGCGTGCGCCTATAATCCCTGATACTAGGGAGGCTGAGGCAGGAAAATCATTTGAACCCAGGAGGCAGAGGTTGCAATGAGCCAAGATGACATCACTTGTACTCCAGCCTGGGCACAGAGGGAAACTGTCTCAAAAACAAAAACAAAACAACAAACGAAAAACTAAAAAGAGAACTTTCATAGTATCCAGCAATTTCACTACTGGGTTTATATCCAAAGGAAAGTAAATCAATATATCGAAGTGATATCTGCACTCGTATGATTGGTGCAGCACTCTTCACAGTAGCCAAGATGAGGAGTCAACCTACCTGCCCATCAGTGGGTGAATGGATAGAGAGAATGTGGTACATTTGCATAGTGGAGACTACTCTTCCATAGAAAGAAAAACATCCTGATATTTGCAGCCACATGGATGGAACTGGAGGTCATTACAAAGATTCCCATTTCTTACCCATATACAGGAGCTAAAAGGTGGATCTCATGAAGGTAGAGAGTAGAATGGTGGCTACCAGAGGCCAGGAAGAAAAGGGTGGAGGGTAAAAAAAAATATGTGTATATATATATATATTAATGTATTTATGACCACTAGACTTTACACTTAAAAATGGTAAATGTGGCTGGGCGTGGTGGCTCATGCCTGTAATCCCAGCACTTTGGGAGGCTGATGCGGGTGGATCACGTGGTCAGGAGTTCGAGACCAGCTTGACCAACATGGTGAAACCCCCTCTCTACTAAAAATACAAAAAGTAGCCTGGCATGGTGGTGCGCGCCTGTAGCACCAGCTACTCAGGTGGCTGAGGCAAGAGAATCGCTTGAACCCAGGAGGCGGAAGTTGCAGTGAGCTGAGATTGTGCCAATGCACTCCAGCATAGGGGACAGAGCTAGACTCCGCCTCAAAAAAAAAATGTTAAAGGTGGTAAGCTATATAGGTATATTTATCCTCAATAAATATTTCTCAAACAAAAGTAAAGGGTGTAGGGGTTGCAGGTGATGACATCCCTGTGTGGGTGGGAGGCCAGGATGGGCTTCTGGGAAATGGGTAATGTTGAGGGGCTGAGGGAACCTCTGATCTTCCCAAACTGAGCCCAGTCTCCCTCCTCTGGGTCTCTCCTGACCGCTTTCTCCATCTGCCTGGGTGCCTGGAGTCCTGGCCGCAGGCCTTCATGCAGGCCATGTAGGAGGGTTTGGAGGTGCCCTGTCTGCCATCCTGTGCCCTGATCCCTCCCTCACACCCAAGCTTCGTCTTCTCTCTGCATCTGTTCATCCTTCTCTCCATCCTCAGCAGGAAGCTCCTCAGCTAAGGCTCTAGGATCATAGGACATGGGACAGCCATGGGCTTTCCTCACCTGTGACAGAAACAAGCAGTGGGTCACTCGAGTTTGACCACTCATAGGGAGAGTCACGGAAAGAGCCGAAGCATCTGTAGGTTCCTCCGTGGGTGGCAGGGCCCAGAGGAAAGTCAGCCTGGAATGTTCCGTTGACCTTGGGCCCTGCAGAGAACCTACGTTCATGGGCCTCCCCCTCCCTGGATAGATGGTACATGTCATAGGAGCTCCGGGAGCTGCAGGACAAGGTCACGCTCTCTCCTGCCAGAACCGTGGGGCCCGGCTGGGCTGAGAGAGAAGGTTTCTCATATAGACCTGGAAGGAGAAGAGGCATTTTCCTTACGGAGGATCTTCCTTGTCACAGCTCCCTTCACCTGAGCTGAGAACTCACTCCCCTGCTCTATGACCTAATGCTCTCTCTCTCTCTCTCTCACCCTCCACCCCATCTCTCTTCATGTCTATTTCCTCCTTCCACCTTCTCTGTCTCTCTAGGTCTCTGACCTCGCTTCCACACCTCTAGATATGTTTTCCCTTTTTGGATTGTTTTATTCTCTCTGACTCTCCTTGGATTGGTTGACTTGATGTTACTTTTTTAAATTCTAAGTTTCTCACTTTGTGTCCTGTTCATAACTTTCTGCATATTTCTATCTATTATCTATCGATCTATCTATTTATCTATTCGGTGCCTATCTACAAATTCTCTACCTGTCATCTATATCTATATATCATCTATGTATCTATCACTTGTCTATCTATCCATCAATCATCTGTTATCTATATCTATGTATCATCTCTCTCTCTATGACTTCTGTCTGCCTCTCTATCTCTATGTATTATCTATCTGTCTTCATCATCATCATCTCTATGTCTCATCTATTAATGAATCAATCAATCATCATCTATGTATCTTTAACCTATTATCTATCATCTACCTATTTATCATCTATCTATATCTAACCTTCTATCATCTGTCTTGCTCTGCCTCTCGGTCTCTCTAGTTCTCTTTGGAATCTCTGCAATTCATCCCCACATCTCCATCTTTCTATGTCCTTGTGCCTCTCCCTCAGGAGTCTAATTTTAGTGCTTTTCTCTGCTCCCTTCCATCATTCTCACCACTCCTCTGCCCTCTTTTCTCTCTCTTTATGTGTCTGTGAGTCTCTCAATCTCCTTCCTCTGGCTCATTCTCTGTGTGTTTATGTCTTTGCTTTTTGGTGTCCCTGATTTCTCTCTGTGCCTCTCAGTGATCCTTTCATATGTGGGGTTATTTGGAATGTGAGCCTCAGAATCCAGTCTGGAGACCACAAGTTCACACAGCATACAGGAGTTGGTGTTCTGGGGCCATGATATCCTGGGACGGTTACTCTCCATTACATGGAAGGCAGAGGTGTCAGAATAAACACGGCATCTGTAGGTGCCACAAGGCCTGAGGCCACAGGGCCCAACTCAGGTCAGAAATATGGGTGTCCTTGGGTTCTCCTGGTAGAGAACACTTTGTGGAGGTAAAACAGAAATGAAACTTCTAACCTGTGCCAGGTCTCTGAGCAAAGTCAGCATGGAGGGACACCTCTCTCTGGGACATGTCTGTCTGTCTGTCTCCTTTAACTCCTTCTGTCTTTTCTAACTCCCGGTATGGCCCCTGTGTCTGTCCTCTGTTATGACACCTGGTCTGTACTTGTGTCTCCTGTTTCTCTGTCTCTGTTGGTACAGACCTCACCAAGTCAGTCTCTCTCCATAAGAATACCAAGCTCATCTTCCTTACAACTACCTGGGGGTTCCAAGTCGTGGATCATTCACTCTGCATCCCAATGACAATGAGAAGAATGTCCGGACACTCTCACCTGTGATGACGATGTCCAGAGGGTCACTGGGAGCTGACAACTGATGGGGGAGTGAGTAACAGAACCGTAGCATCTGTAGGTCCCTGCCAGGTCTTCCATCATGGGACCGATGGAGAAGTTGGCCTTGGAAACCCCATCATGGTGCTCTCCAGTGAGGTGCAAAGTGTCGTTAAACTTCCCTTCTCTGTGCAGAAGGAAGTGCTCAAACCTGACATCTGACCAACATTGCAGGATGACTGTCTCTTCTGATTTCACCAGGGGACCTGGGTGGGCCAGGAGGGAAGGTTTTCTGTGGACTCCTAGGAAGAGAGGTTGTGAGTTTAGAAGGTGTCTCTCTTTATCATCCCATCCATGGCACCTAGAATGAGTGAGGCTTCCCCTTGCTGGTGTCTGTCTCTCTCCTTCCTCTCTGTGTCTTCATGTTCTTTTCTGTGCCCATAACTCCTGGTGCAGGTCCTTCCATCTGTCTCCCTCCCTCTTCTCTGTCCCTCTGTCTCTAGTCGCCTCTGATTCCCTTCCCACTGGGCTTAGCCTCATCTCTTGGGGTGTTGTATCTATTTCACACTAATGTCTTTCCTGCTGTTTATGTGGGGGTGAAAGAGGAACCAGGATAGGCTGCACATCCAGCCTCTTATCAGCCTGGTTCAATCTCTTTTGGATGAATTGGAATCCTTGGCAGTAGGTATGAACTGATGAATAAGGCAGGCACCAGTGTCCACACACCCTGTTCCTGGTCGGGACTGGGAGCCACTCTTGCCATGCCTGTGCCTTCTCCATGGTGCCAGCTTCCATAGGCTGGCTCCTGGTGCTGGTTTGAGGAGTATCAACCCCTCCCTATGTGGATGGAGCCTGGTGGTGGCATCATCATCCCACACTTGCTCATCTCGGTGTAGCCAACCTTCCCCTTGTTTGGTTCCTTTAATTAATTAATTAATTATGGAGACAGAGTCTCACTCCTTCACCCCAGCTGGAGTGAAGTGGTGTGGTCTAGGGTCACTGCAACCTCTGTCTCCTGGGTTCAAGTGATTCTCCTGCCCTCAGCCTCCCAAGTCGCTAGGATTACATGCGCCTGCCACCACACCCGGCTATCCTTGTGTTGTTTCTTACCTTGTCCTTGACCTGGGTTCCAGTGTTGGTTTCCTGTTGCTGCTGTAGAAAATTATCAGAAGCATGGCAGCAGGAGAGAGCACACTGACCCATTTCACTACTGGAGACAGAAATAGGACCCTGTTTTTCCTGGGCTAAAATCAAGGCATCTGCAGGGCTTCGTTCCCTCTGGAGACTCTGGAGAATCATTTCCTTGACTTTTCCAACCTCTACAGGCCACCTGCATTCATGGCTCCTGGCCTTCCTCCACCTTCAAAGCTGGTGGAGTCTCCCATTGCGCTGCTCTAATCCCCACTCCCCTCTTCCTCCTCCTTTCATGTGGACCCTTGTGATTACACTGAGCCCAGCGGGACAGTCCAGGCTGTCTCCCCATCTCAAGGTCAACTCATCAACAACCTGAGCTCCATCTTCCCCTTCAGTTCCTTCCCCTATAACATAAATAGTCACAGACTCCAGGGATTAGAATGTAGTCATCACTGGGGACAATTATTCTTCCCACCACAGCACCCATTTCCCTGTATTCAATCCCCCTTTACCCCAAATATAGTCAGGGCCTGGGTGATGGGACCCTCAAGGACACGCCCACCAGAAGCTCTGGGATTCAGGAGGTGGGAAAGGAGAATCCAAGACAGGAGCCCTCTGACCTGTGGCCATGATCACCAGGGTGTTGCTGGGTGCCGACCACCCACTGGGGTAGTGTGGGTGTGAACCCCGACATCTGTACGTCCCTGTGTGTGCTGGGGTCACAGGGCCCATGAAAAGGCTCTTCCAGAATATTCTGTTGTAGAGCTCAGTGCCAGGCACCCCATCTTCCTTTTACAGACTGAAGTTGTTAAACCCAAGATAAGAATGACACCGAAGAATCACATGTCCTGGAGGCACCACAGAGCTGGGCCAGGCAGACAGCAAGGGCTTGTCCTGACCACCTTGGGGAGAAGGAGGCACCGCCTTAGAGAGGAGGATGTGGAGCCACCCCTCCCTCCCTGTGCTCTGAAGATTCTCCTCGCTTTCCAAGTTTCTATGGCTGCTATCACACCTTGGTGCCCAGGGCTAAAGGAAGGACCCATCCCGCAAACACAAGGTGTCTCCCTACAACAAAAGTGTCAGCTGAGAACTTTGAGCAAGTGCTGAGTAAGAGACTCCTACTAGATTTTAATACTGTAAGATTACTCACATAAAACAACACAGGGTAGACATGGGGTGGAGGGCATGTCTTTGAGAATGGAATATCAGCAGATGCCTGAATGAAAATAAGCAACTGAGCCCCCATCAGAGGATTTGGAATGTCAGGGCCATGGCTGTGGTTTCCCACCTCTTCTGGTGGAGTGACAGCAGCCACACTGCAGCCCCTACCGTCATGGAAACGCTGAAGTGTGAGTAACACCTTTGTCCTCAGAGGATCTGCTGTTCCTACCACTTCCCCACCACGCACCCCAGCTTTGAGCACCCCAGTCTAACCCTGGTCCCCACAGAACTTGACTCTGCCAAGGGAATGAAAGGCCAGGGAGGCGAGGTCGGAACTGTGGGCCGAGCACCCCAGGGTCCCCTCTTCCTAGTTTATGAGAGGCTCCCTGACAGGACTTCCCTCCTGTTTCAGGAAAATCCTCTTATGTGGGGAGATGACACCCTAAGGTTTGGAGAAGGACTCACCCTCATGTGGCCAGGCCCCCTGCAGCAAGAAGAACCCTGGAAAGAAAGATCATGATGGACGATCCATCTGCAGGCAAACCAGCCCTCCCTTGCTGCCCTCACTGGGCTGTGAGTCTTGGTAGGCAGGCCCTTCCTGGACTGAAGTTAAACTCACCCTCAGTGCCTACCTGCACCCAAGAACAGGGCTGTCGGCTGTGCAGAGACCCAGCCTCCAAGCCCAGATCCCCACCACAAGCCCATATCCCCACCACAAGCCCATATCTCCACTCCAGGCCAATATTTCCACCCTAGGCCTGTATCTCCACTCCAGGCCCATATCTCCACTCCAGGCCGATATTTCCATCATAGGCCCATATCGCCAATCCAGGCCCATATCGCCAATCCAGGCCAAGATCTCCACTGTAAGCCCATATCTCCAATCCAGGCCCATATCTCCACTCCAGGCTCAGATCTCCACCCTAGGCCCATATCTCCAATCCAGGCCCATATCTCCACACCAGGCCCATATCTCTACTGAAGGCCAGTAACTCCACCTCCAGGCCCATATCTCCACTCCAGGCCCAGATCTCCACCCCAAGCCCATATCTCCACCCCAGGCCCATATCTCTACTGAAGGCCCGTAACTCCACCTCCAGGCCCATATCTCCACCCCAGGCCCAGATCTCCACCCCAAGCCCATATCTCCACTCTAGGCCCATATCTCCTCTCCAGTCCCATATCTCCACAACCAGGCCCATATCTCCATCCTAGGCCCATATTTCCACTCTAGGCCCAGATATCCACCTCTAGGCCCATATCTCCACTCCTGGCCCATATCTCCACTCCAGGCCCATATCTCTACTATAGGCCTATAACTCCACCTCCAGGCCCATATCTCCACTCCAGGCTCCTATCTCCCCTCCAGGTTCCTATCGGCACTCCAGGCCCAGATCTCCACTTCTAGGCCCATCACTCCATCTCTAGGCCCATATATCCACTCCAGGCCCAGATCTCCACTCCAGGCCCACAACTCCACCTCCAGGCCTATATCTCCACCTCTGGGCCCAGATCTCCAACCCCACACTCCCTTCCTCTATTCCCTTCCAGGACTCACCAACACACGCCATGCTGACGACCGTGAGCGACATGGTGCTGCCGGTGCAGACAGGCGGCCGCGCCCCAGCTCAGCTCAGCAGCGCACAGGATGTTATTTGGCGCCCTGCCCATGCAGTTTACATGTTGACCACATCATGGGAGGGTGACGTACGCAGGCTCTTTCTACCTTGCATGAGGCCCAGTGGTTGCTCGCTCAAGAGCGGAACACGGCTTCCTGGAAATTGTTCTCACTAGAATTTACACCTAGCGTCCTTCACTATGACCAACTCAAAACACGTCTCAGATCCAACCTCCTGAACACGAGATGCCTAAAATCTGTGCTAACGTGAAAGACTTTTCATGTATTTTTATTGTTTTTATCTGAGATTCAAACTCTTCTTCCTGTGTAATATGCAAAATATCTAATAGGTATTATTAAGGTTTTCAGAGTCATTGTGACTAATAAACCATTAGAATTTTTCATGCTTGTATTTCTAGTATTACAGCAGAACCAGTTAAAATGATTTAAATTCCCAGGGAAGGATTATGCAATTATTTACAATCTTTGAATTGTACGTTATCAGCAAAAACCACACATTTAAACTCTGGATTTTTGTAGATTTATCTAAAATTTGTCTCATGACCCAAGTTTCCAGAGTCCCAACTCTGGAGTTTGCTCTCTCTCTGTCTCTCTCCCTCCCTCATTTTAAATTTTACAGAAATATCCAGTAACATAATGCTATAGAAAATCAAGTTTCCCCCAGCACGTCGGGAAGCCGAGGTGGGCGGATCAACTGATATAAGGAGTTTGAGAGCAGCCTGGCAACACAGTGAAACCGTGTCTCTGCTAAAAATCCAAAAATTAGCCGTGCCCAGTGGCAGGAACTTGTAACACCAGCTACCCAAGAGGCTGAGGCACGAGAATCGCTTGAACCTGGGAGGCGGAGGTTGCAGTGAGCTGAGATTGCACCACTGCAGTCCAGCCTGGGCGACAGAGCAAGACTCCGCCTCAAGAAAATAAAAATAGCAAATAGCCTATAATAACAAATTAGAGGCCTCTGGCTACTAAATTTAAAGGGTTCTATGGGGCTACATAAAGTGGAGCATCCTCAAGAATGTGGACACAGAGAGCCGTTTAGCAGAGACAGTGTCTAAAATACACATCCGTGTACACACAGTCCCTTTTTAGTTGACAAAGGCTGCCGTGTGGTTTAAGGTGGCATAGAATGTCTTCTCAATAAATAATATTAAACCAAAGGGTTACACATAGGAAATAATAAATCTAAACTTATTCTCACACTATAAAAACACTTCTTAGTTTTTATCTAGTTATTGTACATTTTTTATGATTTATATTTAAATTTGAGAAATAAAAGTCCTATACCGTCATCCTTCACTATTCATGGGTGATTGGTTTCAGGATCTCCACTCAGATACTAAAATCTGCAGATGCTCAAGCCTCTTACATAAAATGACACAGCATTTGGATATAACCCATGCACATCCTCCTGTATACATGAAATCATCTCTTGATTACTTATAATTCCTGATACAGCCTATACACCACCTCATTTGTGTGCATTCAACACAGTTTTGCTTTTTGGAACTTTGTGGGCTTTTTCTCTGAATATTTTTGATTTATACTTGGTTCAATAAACACCTGTAAACCCCACAGATACGGAGGAGCGACTGTATATTTATAGTATGAAAGATGATGCGTTGACATGTGTCCCCGTGGAGATGAGACTAACAAGGCCTATGACTCTACAAATGTTTCATCATGGAATGACTCTGCCAGCTTTCCAGGTCTGCAGAGAGTAAGAATATCACTTGTTCATGTGATTCACGATCCTTGGAACTTCCTATGTGCTGCATCTTTGGATGGAAATTGGAGTCTCAGAGACAAGTCAGGGTCCACCCTGTTCCAGAAGCTCAGAGTCCAGGGGTGAGAACCCAGTGGAGAACAGATGGGGTTATGTGGACATGGTAATGATAACACCGGAAGCCTTAGGCAAGAAAAGAGTCCCATTACCGAAACCATGAGGGCAGACATGTTTATTTGAAGGAGGGAAAACTACATTGAAATTACTAAAAACAATTTATAAGTTTTACTGCTGACAGAAGGCTGAAAGATAGTCTGAGGGGAGGTGGAACTGCATGAGAGAAGGTGGAACAGCACGTGTCTAAGTGCTGTGTTAAGAGGGAGCCTCTTGTATGTTTGGAATTGTGAGTTCCTCAGTGTGATTGCAGCCTCAAGTAGACTAGGAAGTAAGCCAGTTAGGTTGGAGAGGTGGGCAGGGGTCAAGTGAAATGGAGAATTGTGGGCTAAGCAAAGGAGTGTGTTTTCTCTCCAGCAGGCAGTGGGGACCTTAGACATTTGTAAGCAAGAGAGAGGCATGTTCAGATTCGTGGTGTGAGGAAGAGCGATCCCCTAAGATGAAGACTGATGCCTTCAGATTCCAGCTGCTGGTACATGGGAGCTGGCAACCCGGTTTTGAGACAGGGCTGTTGTCTCCCTAGAAGATCCCCTCAAGGCCTGACTGTGGTGCTCGTGGACAGAAGACAGCTTTGGATCTGGACTCAGCATTTGGAAGTTCTATGTACATGCTGGTATCTGCTGGGGGTGTCTTGGGCCTCTGAGAAGGGGGAGTGATTTTTCTCTGTGTGAAAACACAGTGATCCAATTATGCGTATGACACCTCCTGATGGTCCTGTTCATCAGAATCCTGGAGAGAGGGAAATGCTGAGTGAGGGAGGGTGCTCACATTTTTCAGGACTCTTTGGGAATAAGACTAGCCACGAGGCTGGGCCGAGGAGCACCTACCTCCCTGTTCACTGTTCTGTTCCCCGCAGGCCCTTGGTCCATTACAGATGCATCTGTAGAAGATGGAAGTCAACAAAACAGCTCGGAGGGCACTTCTGGGTCCTCATTTCATAAGCAGATACCAACAAACAGGGGGAGGCCATAGGTGCCTGAGGTCCCTCAGTTGCCAACAGCAGACTCAGACATTCTATCTCTCTGAGCTCAAGGACCCATCCCATGAATAGCTCTGAGTTCCCATCCCATTGATTCTATCTCCCACTTTCTGCCTGTCATGGAACCTTCTCCTGGATGTGAGTGGCTGCAGGGGACGTGAGGGTACAGTTCAGAATCAGGCAATGGTCTGTGAGCTGAAGGCAGGGGAAGGGAATCTGGTGCTCTCTCTAGAAAGTCCTGCCTCTGTGGCTCCTGCCTTGGGCCAGGGACCATCCTGCCTGTGAGGAACACACACCCGCGTGCTACCATCCTGCTTCCCCACATGGCCCTGAGCTCTCTGGCCTCTGCTTCGTGAGACTTACTTTTTTTGTTGGAGCACCAGCGATGAAGGAGAAAGAAGAGGAGGATGGTGAAAGGGAGTTTGACCACTGAGGTCCCAATCAGAACGTGTAGGTGTCTGGGGTTACCTGGAAGAAGAGGAGACACCAATAAGAAGCTAATCATAGCAGTTCCTCTTTATGAATTGTCTCGCATTTCTTGATTGACAGGTAACCACATACAACGTCTCTTTAGGACAAGCACCCAAATGGTGGGAGACCTAGCTTTCCCCTGCTTTCTCAATTATAGCTCTCATAGTAACCATAGAACGTGCTGAGGATACAACTACTTTAGTTGAGATGTCTGACCCCTTCAAACCTCACATGGAAATTTCACCCCCACTGTGGGAGGTTGGGCCTCTTGGGAGGTGTTTGGGTCATGGAGGTGGATCCATCATGAACAGAACAATGCTGTCCCAAGGAGACGGGGTTAGCAAGTTCCCCCTCTATTAGTTTCCGGAGAGCTGGTTGTTCAAAAGAGCTTGGAAGCTCCATCGCTCCCCCTCCCCCTTACTCTCTCTCTTGCCGTGTGATCTCTGCGGTCTCTGCACAGACAGACCCTCCTTCCCTTCTGCCAGAGTGGGAGCAGCCTGAGGCCGTCACAAGAAATAGATTCTGGTGCCATGCTTCCAGTACAGCCTGCAGAACGGTGAGGCAAACCGATCTCTTTTCTTTAGAAGTTACCGAGGCTCAAGTTTTCCTTTAGAGCAACAAAAAAAAACTACGACAGCAACGTCCTGAGATCAGGAGGAATGTCTCAGAACAGCCTGGGCTGTCTTCCTGTTCTTCCTGGAGGAAGGCGTCATGCAGTGCTTTAGCTGAGTGCTTCCTGTGGCTCCAGGGTACAAAACCCAGGCTGGGCTGCTTTCTGGCTTCCCCCAGCTACACTGCAAATGGGGTGACTCCATATGTCCCGAGCAGCTTTTCTGAGCCTTGAGGGACTGGCTCACATTGAAATGTAGGCTTCTGTTGTCACTCGCTGCTTATCTGTTAGTAATGAACCTGCCTGTGTAATGTATTCTCTGTGTGTTCTGTCTTCCTGGAGTGACGGTGAGTGATAGGAATTGGCATAGGCCCAGGTGCAGTCCAGGAGGTGTTTAGAGTCTTCTCTGGGAAGACTGCACTGGGATTGATACACAGCGAATGTGCTTTAGGATTTCTACATCCACGGCATTCTTGAGTCAAACAACTTGCATTCTCCAAGAAAAGGAAACAAAAGTGAAATCAAGATAAAAAAAGCGAAGTAGAATTCTCTTATGTCAAATGGCCAGGAAACAATGTTGAAGCCCATGTGAAACGTGCTACTCTTTGTGATCTCAGGAGACACATGTTAGGCTGCTGTTCTACCCCAGAGGCTGGGGGAAGGACCACACCCTCGGCCATCTATTGCTTCAATACCACCTGTCCTCCTGTGAATTAGTAGGAAAGGGGAGCAGGAGCTAGTGCTGACGCTGATCTCTGATTCCAAGATCTGGACTCACTCCAAGGAGTATTAGAATTTACCTCCCCATGGCCTATCTGAATCTCCACAGATGATTGGAAGTAGGGGTGAGGTGGGGGATTTGGGTGAGAGGGCATGTTTTTTTTGTGATGAACAGAGCACTTTGTGTATTCCAGGATCTGTGCTGGAGGATTCAGCGGGCTTTCACATTTTCTATATGATCTCATGCTCACAGAAAGCCAAATAGGGAAGAGGTTTTAGGCTCATTGCCTAATGGATAAGATAAAGGATCAAAGAAGTAATTATAGAGAAATAGAAAAATCATGATTGGAATTCAGGTCCCTTTGTCATTTGCGTGTGTTATATTATATTTATATTTATGCATTTCTTATTTTTATTTTTTGAGACGGAGTCTCCTTGTGTCACCCAGGCTGGAGTGCAGTGATGCAATCTCCACTCACTGCAAACTCCACCTCCTGGGTTGAAGTCATTCTCCTGCTTCATCCTCCAGAGTAGGAGCTGGCATTACAGGGATGCACCACCATGTTCGGCTAATTTTTGTGTTTTTCCTAGAGACAGGGTTTCACCATGTTGGCCAGGCTGGTCTCGAACTGCTGACTTCGTGTGATCCACCCGCCTTGGCCTCCTGCAGTGCTGGGTTACAGGCGTGAGCCACCGTTCACAGACTTGTATATTATGCTATAATAGGTCCCTTCATTTCCACCACCCCTCATATATCTGTCACTCCTTTGCCAGGTATTGATTTATGTGTAGTAGGAATAAAGCTCAGAAAGAAATTAAGCGAGGATTAGACAACTAGGAAAATCAAACCCAGCAAGCCTTTCCAGCCAATGATTCCACCTCACAAGCATATCTTATATCCATCTGCTTCACCCAGTTAGGGTCTAAATCAGCACCACATTTCACCAGTGAGGCGGGAATTGCCTTTTCCACAGTCTCCTAGATTCCAGTTACGCACCTGGGCCTCCCTTATTTTCATGTCAGTCATATTAATCATGTAGGGATTCCTGGCTACCCCGAGGTGAATCCAATGGCTGTGAGTGTCAAACACACACTCCTTGTTGCTCCTTAGTTTCCTGTGTACCCAGTGTGCTCTGGGTCTCTCTACAGTCGTCTTGTCATTCTCCCCACGTCATTCCCAGCATTTGAGGCAGAGCCTCTTCCTTCAACATCAGATTATTTTCACCTTTGTGCCTTCACGGCTGACAGCTGTGTGGAAAATCCTTCCACCAATCTTTCAGGGGTTCAATCCGTGTTTTTCATTAATGTCACAAATATCTGATTAGTGAGATCTTCTCTGTCACCCAAAATCATACACTCAGCATTATGTATTATTTATTTTAAATTCTGGCTGGGCACAGTGGCTCACGCCAGTTATCCCAGTACTTTAGGATGCTGAGACGGTCGGATCACTTGAGGTTGGGAGTTTCAGAGAAGCTTGGCGAAGATGGTGAAACATCCTCTACAAAAAATATACAAAAAGAATTAGCCGGGCATGGTGGCAGTTGCCTGTAATCCCAGCTACTCGAGAGGCTGACGCAGGAGAATCACTTGGATCCAGAAGGTGCAGGTTGCAGTGAGCCAAGATGGTGACACTGCACTGTAGCCTGGAAGACAGAGGGAGACTCTGTCTCAATAAACAAACGAAGAAACAAACAAATAGATTTCATACACAGATGCTTCCCAATGGATCATTCATTTATTGGTCCACTTGTGCATTCATTTTCTGCCCTCCCATTTAACCATCTGCAATATCAGTGTCCCAAGGGCAGAGGCCAAATGCATCTTGTTCACTGTTTGTGGAAGGTAGGAGAATGCTGTCCCACCCCAAAATGTCCCTGTCCTAGCCTCCATAGCTTGTGAATATCTTATTTTACATGGAAAGGAGGAATGAAGATTGCAGATGGAATTATGGTTGCTAATCAGCTGAACTTAAAACAAGGGTATCCTGAATGATTTCCAGGAGATTATGATGGATTTTCATCTTGGTGAACCCAATAGAATCCCCAAGTTTTCAAAAGATGAGGAAGAAGGGAGAGCAGCATTCAGATAAAGAGGTGTGGTAAGGAAGAAGGGTCTGAGTGATGCCACGTGAGATGTGACCAGCCTTTGTGGGCTTTGAGGAAGGAGGAAGGGGACCAGGAGCGAAGGAATGTGGGAGCCTCTAGAAGCTGGGACAAGTGAGAAGCAGATTCTTGCCTGGAACCCTCAGAGGGAAGGCAGCCTTGCTGTCGCCTTGATTTTAGCCCAGTGAGATGCACTTCATACTTTGAGCTAGAGCACTGTAAGATAATTAAAAAACCGTTTTGTTTTCACCCACGAATCTTGTGGAAATTTGTTATGGCAACAATAGGAAAAGGTTCCACACTGCACAGCCTGAGCATGGGGCCGTGGCTGAATGAGTCAGTGAGTCGAAGTGTGCGTGCATGAGCTCTGTTCTCTGTTACGGCAAGGCTCTTTCTCTGCGGAGTCAGCCAGGGTTGCTTCATGACCTACAGGAGCTCATTCCTTGGCAAGTGGAACTTCTCTAAAACACCTCGCCCTCATCAGATGTTCCCTTCCCTTCCCTCTCTCAAGTCTCCAGGAATTTATCCTCCAGTTAGGAATGCAGGCAGAACAAACATTGCATTTTTCCTGAGAAGGATGTCAGATTGGCAATCATTCTTCTAGCTTGTAGGAGGTCTCAGCTCCATAAAATGAGGGATGAAGAGATTTCACTGAGCCCTGTGTTGGGCCCAGATCCCTTTCGCTGTTGGAGTATCTGGAGTTCGGAGATGGTGGAAGACAGGGGTACAATGTCAGAGCTGTGAGATGCTGAGTCAACGCCTGAATCCAAGGTTTCCACCTCCCCAGGTTTCCAAAAGCGGATATAAGAGGGTTCTGTACTCACCGGTTTCGGAGCTTGGTTCAGTGGGTGAAGGCCAACTATTTGAAGAGTTTCCTAGAACACGAGACAGGAGAGAGGTGAGGAAATGAGGGTGTCTGTCCTCTACTCAGTGGAAATCTTTGAGGATGGTTCATGGCCAACACTCTGTTATCTAATATTGGGCCCTGGGAGTCCTGGGATCCTTTTTTCCATAATTTTTTTATGTGACACCCACTGTCTTGAGACTTCAAGGTATAAAGAGAAAACAGGAGCATCACACTACCTGATCTCAAAATATGTTACAGAGCTGTAGTAAGCAAAACAGCATGACATTGGCATAAAGAAAGGCACATAGAACAATGGAGCAGAATGAATAACACAGATATATTCCATGCATTTACATCCAATGGTTTTTATTTTTTCTTTTGAGATGGAGTCTTGCTCTGTCACTCAGGCTGGAGTGCAGAGGTGCAATCTCAGTTCACTGCAACCTCAGCCTCCTGGGTTCAATCATTCTCTTGCCTCAAACTCCTGAGTAGTGGTATTACAGGTGCTGACCACCATGCTCAGCTAATTTTTATATTTTTAGTGGAGACGATGTTTCATCACGTCGTCCAGACTGATCTTGAACTCCTGGCCTCAGGTAATCCACCCGCCTCGGCCTCCCAAAGTGCTGAAATTGCAGGTGTTAGCTACCAAGCCCAGCCCATCCAATGGACTTTGACAAAGGTGCCAAGAACTCACAATCAGGAAAGGACAGTCTTTTCAATAAACAGTGCAGGGAAACCTGGACATCGACATGCAGAGGAATGAAACTGCACCTCTACCTGTCACCATACACAAAAATCAAATGAAAATGGATTAAAGATGTGAGTCTAAGGCCTGAACCTATGAAACACGTAGAACAAAATATTGGGGAAATGCTCCAGGACATTTGTCTGAAGAAAGACATTTTGTTTGAAACCTTGAAAACACAAGTAATCGAAGCAAAAATAGACCATTGGGATTACCTCAAACTAAGCAACTTCTGCACTGCTAAAAATAAACCAACAAAGTGAAGAGACAACCCACAGATTGGGAGCAAATATGTGCAAACTATGCATCTGAGATGGGATTAATAACTAGAAATATAAGAAGCTCAAACAACTCAATAAAACAAATGATTTAATTGAAAAAGGAGCAAAAGACATGAAATTTCCCCACATACGAAAAACTGCTCAGTATCACTCATCATCAGAGAAACGCAAATTAAAATCAAAGTGAGTTTTCATCTCACTCCATTAAAATGGCTTTTAGGCCGGGCGAGGTGGCTCACGTCTGTCATCCTAGAATTTTGAGAGCCTGAGGTGGGTGAATCTCATAAGGTCGGGAGTTTGAGACCAGTCTGACCCACATAGAGAAACGCTGTCTCTACTAAAAATACAAAAATTAGTAGGGCGTGGTGGCGTGTGCCTGTAATTCCAGCTACTCGGGAGGCTGAGGCAGGAGAATCGCTTGAACCTGGGAGGTGGAGGTTGCGGTGAGCCGAGATCGCACCACTGCACTCAGCCTGGGTGACAAGAGCGAAACTCCATCTCAAAATAAAATGAAATAAAATAAAATGGCTTTTAGCTGCAAGACAGGCAAAAGAAATGCTGGCAAGGTGGTAGAGAAAGGAGAACCCTGGTACCCTGTTGGGAGGAGTGTAAATTAGTACAGCGATTACGGAGAAAAGTATGGAAGTCCTTTAAAGAACTAAAAAGAGGTTGGGTGTGGTGGATCAGGCCTGTAATCCCGGCACTTTGGGAGACTGAGGCGGGCACCTCAGTTGAGGTCATGAGTTTGAGAGCAGCCCAGCCAACATGGGGAAACCGCATCTATACTAAAAAAACCAAAAAGTAGCCAGGCATGGTGGCGTGCACCTGTAATCCCAGCTACTAGGGAGGCTGAGGCAGGAAAATCATTGGAACCCAGGAGGCGGAGGTTGCAATGAGCCAAGGTCGCACCACTTTGACTCCAGCTTGGGCTAAGGAGGGAAACTCTTTCTCAAAAAAGAAAAAAAAAAAAAAGAGAACTTTCATAGTATCCAGCAATTTCACTACTGGGTTTATATCCAAAGGAAAGTAAATCAATATATCGAAGTGATATCTGCACTCGTATGATTGGTGCAGCACTGTTCACAGTAGCCAAGATGAGGAGTCAACCTACCTGCCCATCAGTGGGTGAATGGATAGAGAGAATGTAGTACATACGCACAGTGGAGACTACTCATCCATAGAAAGAATAACATCCTGTCATTTGCAGCCACATGGATGGAACTGGAGGTCATTACAAAGATTCCCATTTCTCACCCATATACAGGAGCTAAAAGGTGGATCTCATGAAGGTAGAGAGTAGAATGGTGGCTACTGGAGGACAGGAAGAAAAGGGTGGAGGGTAAAAAAAATGTATATATATATATAAAAATGTATTTATGACCACTAGACTTTACACTTAAAAATGGTAAATGTGGCTGGGTGCGGTGGCCCATGCCTGTAATCCCAGCACTTTGGGAGGCTGATGCGGGTGGATCATGTGGTCAGGAGTTCGAGACCAGCTCGACCAACATGGTGAAACCACCTCTCTACTAAAAATACAAAAAGTAGCCTGGCATGGTGGTGCGTGCCTGTAGCACCAGCTACTCAGGTGGCTGAGGCAGGAGAATCGCTTGAACCCAGGAGGCGGAGGTTGCAGTGAGCTGAGATTGTGCCACTGCACTCCAGCATAGGGGACAGAGCTAGACTCCACCTCAAAAAAAAATGTTAAAGGTGGTAAGCTATATAGGTATATTTATCCTCAATAAATATTTCTTCAAAGAAAAGTAAAGGGTGTAGGGATTGCTGGTGATGACATCTCTGTGTGGGTGAGAGGCCAGGATGGGCTTCTGGGAAATGGGTAATGTTGAGGGGCTGAGGGAACCTCTGATCTCCCCAAACTGAGCCCAGTCTCCCTCCTCTGGGTCTCTCCTGACCGCTTTCTCCATCTGCCTGGGTGCCTGGAGCCCTGGCCGCGGGCCTCCATGCAGGCCATGTAGGAGGGTTTGGAGGTGCCCTGTCTGCCATCCTGTGCCCTGATCCCTCCCTCACACCGAGGCTGCGTCTTCTCTCTGCATCTGTCCATGCTTCTCTCCATCCTCAGCAGGAAGCTCCTCAGCTAAGGCTCTAGGATCATAGGACATGGGACAGCCATGGGCTTTCCTCACCTGTGACAGAAACAAGCAGTGGGTCACTTGACTTTGACCACTCGTATGGAGAGTCACGGAAAGAGCCGAAGCATCTGTAGGTCCCTCCGTGGGTGGCAGGGTCCAGAGGAAAGTCGGCCTGGAATGTTCCGTTGACCTTGGTCCCTGCAGGGAGCCTACGTTCATGGGCCTCCCCTTCCCTGGATAGATGGTACATGTCATAGGAGCTCCGGGAGCTGCAGGACAAGGTCACGCTCTCTCCTGCCAGAACCGTGGGGCCCGGCTGGGCTGAGAGAGAAGGTTTCTCATATAGACCTGGAAGGAGAAGAGGCAGTTTCCTCAGGGAGGATCTTCCTTGTCACAGCTCCCTTCACCTGAGCTGAGAACTCACTCCCCTGCTCTGTGACCTAATGCTCTCTCTCTCTCTCTCTCACCCTCCACCCCATCTCTCTTCACGTCTATTTCCTCCTTCCACCTTCTCTGTCTCTCTAGGTCTCTGACCTCACTTCCCCACCTCTAGATATGTTTTCTCTTTTTGGATTGTTTTATTCTCTCTGACTCTCCTTGGATTGGTTCACTTGATGTTACTTTTTTTAATTCTGAGTTTCTCACTTTGTGTCCTGTTCATAACTTTCTGCATATTTCTATCTATTATCTATCGATCTATCTATTTATCTATTCCGTGCCTATCTACAAATTCTCTACCTGTCATCTATATCTATATATCATCTATTTATCTATCAATTTTCTATCTATCCATCAATCATCTATTATCTATATCTGTGTATCATCTCTCTCTCTCTATGATTTCTCTATGTCTGCCTCTCTATCTCTATGTATTATCTATCTGTCTTCATCATCATCATCTCTATGTCTCATCTATTAATGAATCAATCAATCATCATCTATGTATCTATAACCTATTATCTATCATCTACCTATTTATCATCTATCTATATCTATCCATCTATCATCTGTCTTGCTCTGCCTCTCGGTCTCTCTAGTTCTCTTTGGAATCTCTGCAATTCATCCCCACATCTCCATCTTTCTATGTCCTTGTGCCTCTCCCTCATGACTCTAATTTTAGTGCTTTTCTCTGCTCCCTTCCATCATTCTCACCACTCCTCTGCCCTCTTTTCTCTCTCTTTATGTGTCTGTGAGTCTCTCAATCTCCTTCCTCTGGCTCATTCTCTGTGTGTTTATGTCTTTGCTTTTTGGTGTTCCTGATTTCTCTCTGTGCCTCTCAGTGATCCTCTCATATGTGGGGTTATTTGGAATGTGAGCCTCAGAATCCAGTCTGGAGACTACAAGTTCACACAGCATACAGGAGTTGGTGTTCTGGGGCCATGATATCCTGGGACGATTACTTTCCATTACCTGGAAGGCAGAGGTGTCAGAATAAACATGGCATCTGTAGGTGCCAGAAGGCCTGAGGCCATAGGGCCCAACTCAGGTCAGAAATATGGGTGTCCTTGGGTTCTCCTGGTAGAGAACACTTTGTGGAGGTAAAACAGAAATGAAACTTCTAACATGTGCCAGGTCTCTGAGCAAAGTCAGCATGGAGGGACACCTCTCTCTGGGACATGTCTGTCTGTCTGTCTCCTTTAACTCCTTCTGTCTTTTCTAACTCTCGGAAAGGCCCCTGTGTGTGTCCTCTGTTATGACACCTGGTCTGTACTTGTGTCTCCTGTTTCTCTGTCTCTGTTGGTACAGACCTCACCAAGTCAGTCTCTCTCCATAAGAATACCAAGCTCATCTTCCTTACAACCACCTGGGCCTCCAAGTCCTGGATCATTCACTCTGCATCCCAATGACAATGAGAAGAATGTCTGGACACTCTCACCTGTGATCACGATGTCCAGAGGGTCACTGGGCGCTGACAACTGATAGGGGGAGTGAGTAACAGAACCGTAGCATCTGTAGGTCCCTGCCAGGTCTTGTGTCATGCGACCGATGGAGAAGTTGCCCTTGGAGACCCCATCAATGTGCTCTCCAATGAGGCGCAAAGTGTGGTTAAACGTCCCCTCTCTGTGCAGAAGGAAGTGCTCAAACATGACATCTGACCAACATTGCAGGATGACTGTCTCTTCTGATTTCACCAGGGGACCTGGGTGGGCCAGGAGGGAAGGTTTTCTGCGGAATCCTAGGAAGAGAGTTTGTGAATTTAGAAGGTGTCTCTCTTTATCATCCCATCCATGGCACTTGGATTGAGTGAGGCTTCCCCTCCCTGGTGTCTGTCTCTCTCCTTCCTCTCTGTGTCTTCATGTTCTTTTCTGTGCCCATAACTCCTGGTGCAGGTCCTTCCATCTGTCTCCCTCCCTCTTCTCTGTCCCTCTGTCTCTAGTAACCTCTGATTCCCTTGCCGCTGGGCTCAGCCTCATCTCTTCGGCTGTTGTATCTATTTTGAACTAATGTCTTTCCTGCTGTGTATGTGGGGGTGGAAGAGGAACCAGGATAGGCTGCACATCCAGGCTCTTAGCAGCCTGGTTCAATCTCTTTTGGTCGAATTGGAATCCTTGGCAGGAGGTATGAACTGATCAGTAAGGCAGGCACCAGTGTCCACACACCCTGTTCCTGGTGGGGACTGGGAGCCACTCTTGCCATGCCTGTGCCAGCTTCCATAGCCTGGCTCCTGGTGCTGGTTGGAGGAGTATCAACCGCTCCCTATGTGGATGGAGCCTGGTGGTGGCATCATCATCCCTCACTTGCTGATCTTGGTGTAGCCAACCTTCTCCTTGTTTGGTTTCTTTAATTAATTAATTTTGGAGACAGAGTCTCACTCCTTTGCCCAGGCTGGAGTGAAGTGGTGTGGTCTAGGCTCACTGCAACCTCTGTCTCCTGGGTTCAAGTGATTCTCCTGCCGTCAGCCTCCCAAGTCGCTAGGATTACATGCACCTGCCACCACGCCCGGCTATCCTTGTGTCCTTTCTTAACTTTTCCTCGAGCTGGGTTCCGGTGTTGGTTTCCTGTTGCTGCTGTAGAAAATTATCAGCAGCATGGCAGCAGGAGAGAGCACACTGACCCCTTCCATTTCTGGAGGCAGAAGTCGGGCCCTGTTTTTCCTGGGCTAAAATCAAGGCACCTGTAGGGTTTCGTTCCCTCTGGAGACTCAGGAGAATCAGTTCCTTGACTTTTCCAGCCTCTATAGGCCACCTGCATTCATGGCTCCTGGCCTTCCTCCACCTTCAAAGCTGATGGAGACTCCCATTACGCTGCTCTAATCCCCACTCCCCTCTTCCTCCTCCTTTCCTGTGGACACTTGTCATTACACTGAGCCCAGGGGGACAGTCCAGGCCTTCTCCCCATCTCAAGGTCAACTCATCAACAACCTGAGCTCCATCTTCCCCTTCAGTCCCTTCCCCTATAACATAAATAGTCACAGACTCCAGGGATTAGAATGTAGTCATCACTGGGGACAATTATTCTTCCCACCACAGCACCCATTTCCCTGTATTCAATCCCCCTTTACCCCAAATACAGTCAGGGCCTGCGTGAAGGGACCCTCAAGGACATGCCTACCAGAAGCTCTGGGATTCAGGAGGTGGGACAAGGAGAATCCCAGACAGGAGCCCTCTGACCTGTGACCACGATCACCAGGGGGTTGCTGGGTGCCGACCCCCCACTGGGGGAGTGTGTGTGTGAACCCCGGCATCTATAGGTCCCTGTGTGTGACGGGGTCACAGGGCCCATGAAAAGGCTTTTCCAGAATATTCTGTTGTAGAGCTCAGGGACAGGCACCCCATCATCCTTGTACAGACTGAAGTTGTTAAACCCAAGATTAGAGTGACACCGAAGAGTCACATGTTCTGGAGGCACCACAAGGCTGGGCCAGGTAGAAAGCAAGGGCTTGTCCTGACCACCTTGGGGAGAAGGAGGCGCCGCCTTAGAGAGGAGGATGTGGAGCCGCCCCTCCCTCCCTGTGCTCAGAAGATTCTCCCCACTTTCCACATTTCTATGGCTGCTATCACACCTTGGTGCCTAGGGCTAAAGGAAGGACTCATCCCACAAAGACAAGCTGTCTCCCTACAACAAAAGTGTCAGCTGAGAACTTTGAGCAAGTGCTGAGTAAGAGACTCCTACTAGATTTTAATACTGTAAGATTACTCACATAAAACAACACAGGGTAGACATGGGGTGGAGGGCATGTCCTTTGAGAATGGAATATCAGCAGATGTCTGAATGAAAATAAACAACTGAGCCCCCATCAGAGGATTTGGAATGTCAGGGCCATGGCTGTGGTTTCCCACCTCTTCTGGTAGAATGACAGCAGCCACACTGCAGCCCCTACCGTCATGGAAACGCTGAAGTGTGTGAGTAACACCTTTGTCCTCAGAGGATCTGCTGTTCCTACCACTTCCCCACCACACACCCCAGCTTTGAGCACCCTAGTGTAACCCTGGTCCCCACAGAACTTGACTCTGCCAAGGAAATGAAAGGCCAGGGAGGCAAGGTCGGAACTGTGGGCCAAGCACCCCAGGGTCCCCTCTTTCTAGTTTAAGAGAGACTCCCCGACAGGACTTCCCTCCCGTTTCAGGAAAATCCTCTTATGTGGGGAGATGACACCTTAAGGTTTGGAGAAGGACTTACCCTCATGTGGCCAGGCCCCCTGCAGCAAGAAGAACGCTGGAAAGAAAGATCATGATGGACCATCCATCTGCAGGCAAACCAGGCCTTCCTTGCTATCCCCACTAGGCTGTGAGTCTTGGTAGCCAGGCCCTTCCTGGGCCGAAGGGAAACTCACCCTCAGTGCCTACCTGCACCCAAGAACAGGGCTCTCGGCTGTGCAGAGACCCAGCCTCCAGGCCCATATCCCTACCCCAAGCCCATATCTCCACTCCAGGCACATATCTCCACTCCAGGCTGATATTCCCACCCTAGGCCCATATAGCCAATCTGGGCCCACATCTCCAATCCAGGCTCAGATCTCCACCCTAGGCCCATAACTCCAGTCCAGGCCCATATCTCCACTCCAGGCCCATAACTACACTCCAGGATCATATCTCCACTCCAAGCCCATATCTCCACAACAGGCCCATATCTCCACTCCAGTCCCATATCTCCACCCCACGCCCATATCTCCACTCCAGGCCCATATCTCCACTCCAGGCCCATATCTCCACCCAACGCCCATATCTCCATTCCAGGCCCATATCTCCACCCCACGCCCATATCTCCACTCCAGGCACATATCTCCACCCCACGCCCATATCTCCACTCCAGTCCCATATCTCCACTCCAGGCCCATATCTCCACCCCACGCCCATATCTCCACTCCAGTCCCATATCTCCACCCAACGCCCATATCTCCACTCCAGTCCCATATCTCCACCCCATGCCCATATTTGCACTCCAGTCCCATATCTCCACCCCACACCCATATCTCCACTTCAGTCCCATATCTCCACTCAAGGCCCATATCTCCACCCCACGCCCATATCTCCACTCCAGGCCCATATCTCCACTCCAGGCCCATATCTCCACCTCCAGGCCCATATCTCCACTCCAGGCCCATATCTCCATCTCCAGGCTCATATCTCCACTCCAGGCCCATATCTCCACTCCAGGCCCTTATCTCCACCTCCAGGCCCATATCTCCACTCCAGACCCACATCTCCACTCCAGGGCCATATCTCCACTCCAGGTCCATATCTGCACCTCCAGGCCCATATCTCCACTCCAGGCCCATATCTCCACCTCCAGGCCCATAACTTCACTCCAGGCCCATAACTCCACTCCAGGCCCATATCTCTACTCCAGTCCCATATCTCCACTCCAGTCCCATATCTCCACCCTAGGCTCCTACCTCCCATCCAGGTTCCTATCTCTTCTCCAGGTTCCTCTCTCCACTCCAGGCCCATATCTCCACTGCAGGCCCATATCTCCACTCCAGACCCAGATCTCCACTTCTAGGCCCATCACTCCATCTCTAGGCCCATATATCTCCTCCAGGCCCAGATCTCCACTCCAGGCCCATAACTCCACCTCCAGGCCTATATCTCCACCTCTGGGCCCAGATCTCCATCCCCGCGCTCCCTCCCTCTATTCCCTTCCAGGACTCACCAACACACGCCTTGCTGATGACCATGAGCGACATGGTGGTGCCGGAGCAGACAGGCGGCCGCACCCCTAGCTCAGCTCAGCAGCGCACAGGATGTTATTTGGCGCCCTGCCCATGCAGTTTACATGTTGACCACATCATGGGAGGGTGAAGTACGCAGGCTCTTTCTACCTTTCATGAGGCCCAGTGGGTGCTCGCTCAAGAGCAGAACACGGCTTCCTGGAAATTGTTCTCACTAGAATTGACACCTCGTGTCCTTCACTATGACCAACTCAAAACACGTCTCAGATCCAACCTCCGGAACACAGGATGCCTAAAATCTGTGCTAACGTGAAAAACTTTTCATGTATTTTTATTGTTTTTATCTGAGATTCAAACTCTTCTTCATGTGTAATATGCAAAATATCTAATAGGTATTATTAATGTTTTCAGAGTCATTGTGACTAATAAACCATTAGAATTTTTCATGCTTGTATTTCTAGTATTACAGCAAAACCAGTTAAAATGATTTAAATTCCCAGGGAAGGATTATGCAATTATTTACAATCTTCGAATTGTACTTTATCAGCAAAAACCACACATGTAAATTCTGGATTTTTATAGTTTTATCTATAATTTGTCTCATGACCCAAGATTCCAGAGTCCCAACTCTGGAGTTTGCTCTCTCTCTGTCTCTGTCCCTCCCTCATTTTAAATTTTACAGAAATATCCAGTAACATAATGCTATAGAAAATCAAGTTTCCCCCAGCATGTTTGGAAGCCGAGGTGGGCGAATCAACTGAGATGAGGAGTTTGAGAGCAGCCTGGCCAACATAGTGAAACCGTGTCTCTGCTAAACATTCAAAAATTAGCCGTGCCTGGTGGCAGACACCTGTAATGCCATCTACTCAAGAGGCTGAGGCACGAGAATCGCTTGAACCTGGGAGGCGGAGTTTGCAGTGAGCTGAGATTGCACTACTACAGTCCAGCCTGGGTGACAGAGCAAGATTCCGCCTTAAGAAAAAAAAAATAGCAAGTAGCCTATAATAACAAATTAGAGGGCTCTGGCTACTAAATTTAAAGGGTTCTATAAGGCTACATAAAGTGCAGCATACTCAAGAGTGTGGACACAGAGAGCCCCTTAGCAGAAACAGTGTCTAAAATACATCCGTGTACACACAGTCCCTTTAGAGTTGACAAAGGCTGCCCTGTGGTTTAAGGTGGCATAGAATGTCTTCTCAATAAATAATATTAAACCAAAGGGTTACACGTAGGAAAAAATAAATCTAAACTTATTCTCACACTATAAAAACACTTCTTGTTTTTATCTAGTTTATAATTTTTTTATGATTTATATTTAAAATTTAGAAATAACAGTTTTATACGGTCATCCTTCACTATTCCTGGGTGATCGGTTTCAGGATCTCCACTCAGATACCAAAATCTGCAGATGCTGAAGCCTCTTACATGAAATGGCACAGCGCTTGCATATAACCCATGCACATCCTCCTGTATACATGAAATCATCTCTAGATTACTTATAATTCCTGATATGGCCTACACACTGCTTCATTTGTGTCCCTTCAACATAGTTTTGCTTTTTGAAAGTTTGTGGATTTTCTTCTCTGAATATTTTTTATTTATAGTTGGTTCAATAAACACCTGTAAACCCCACAGATACGGAGGAGCGACTGTATATATATATATAGCATGAAAGATGATGTGTTGATATGTGTCCCCATGGAGATGAGACTAACAAGGCCTATGACTCTACAAATGTTTCATCGTGGAATGACTCTGCCAGCTTTCCAGGTCTGCAGAGAGTAAGAATATCACTTGTTCATGTGATTCATGATCCTTGGAACCTCCTATGTGCTGCATCTTTGGATGGAAATTGGAGTCCCAGAGACAAATGAGGCTCCACCCTGCTTCCAGAAGCTCAGAGTCCAGGGGAGAGAACCCAGTGGATAACAGATGGGGTTATGTGGACATGGTAATGATAACAGCGGTTTCTTTCAGCGAATAGCGTCACATTACCTAAAGCAATGAGGGCAGACATGTTTATTTGAAAAGGAGACAGCTACATTGAAATCACAAAAAATTTTATAAGTTTCACTGCTGACTGACAGAAGTCTGGAAAATAGTCTGAGGAAAGGTGAAACAGCATGAGGGAAGGTGGAACAGCACGTGTCTCAGTGCCATGTTAAGAGGGAGCCTCTTGTATGTCTGGAATTGTGAGTTCCTCAGTGTGATTGCAGCCTCAAGTAGACTAGGAAGTAAGCCAGTTCAGTTGGAGAGGTGGGCAGGGGTCAAGTGAAATAGAGAATTGTGGGCTAAGCAAAGGAGTGTGTCTTCTCTCCAGCAGGCAGTGGGGACCTTAGACATTTGTAAGCAAGAGAGAGGCATGTTCAGATTTGTGGTGTGAGGAAGAGCGATCCCCTAAGATGAAGACTGATGCCTTCAGATTCCAGCTGCTGGTACATGGGAGCTGGCAACCCGGTTTTGAGACAGGGCTGTTGTCTCCCTAGAAGATCCCCTCAAGGCCTGACTGTGGTGCTTATGGGCAGGAGACAATGATCTTGGCTTAGCATTTGGAAGTTCCATGTACATGGTGGTATCTGTTGGAGGTGTCTTGGGCCTCTGAGAAGGGGAAGTGATTTTTGTCTGTGTGAAAACGCAGTGATCCAACTGTGCATATGTCACCTCCTGAGGGTCTTGATCATCAGAGTCCTGGAGAGAGGGAAATGCTGAGTGAGGGAGGGTGCTCACATTCTTCAAGACTATTAGGGAATGAGACTCAATCCATGAGGCTGGGCTGAGGAGAACCTACCTCCCTGTTCACTGTTCTGTCCCCGGCAGGCTCTTGGTCCATTACAGCAGCATCTGTAGGAGATAGAAGTCATCAAAACAGCTGGAAGGGCACTTTTGGGTCCTCATTTCATGAGCAGACACCAACACACAGCGGGAGGCCGTAGGTGCCTGAGGTCCCTCAGCTGTCATCAGCCAGACCCAGACATTCTATCTCTCTGAGCTCAAGGACCCATCCCATGAATAGCTCTGAGTTCCCATCCCAGTGATTCTGTCTCCCCTTTCTGCCTGTCATGGAACCTTCTCCTGGATGTCAGTGGCTGCAGGGGACGTGAGGATACAGTTCAGAATCAGGCAATGGTCTGTGAGCTGAAGGCAGGGGCAGGGTGTCTGGTGCTCTCTCTAGAAAGCCCTGCCTCTGTGGCTCCTGCCTTGGTCCAGGGACCATCCTGCCAGTCAGGAACACACACCAGTGTGCTCCCATCCTGCTTCCCCACATGGTCCTGAGCTCTCTGACCTCTGCTTCGTGAGACTTACTCTTTTTGTTGGAGCAGCAGCAATGAAGGAGAAAGAAGAAGAGGATGATGAAGAGGATGATAGCCACTGAGGTCCCAATCAGAATGTGCAGGTGTCTGCGGATACCTGGGGGAAGGTGGGAATCCAATAAGAAGCTAATTATAGCAGTTCCTCTTTATGGATTGTCTCTCATTTCTTGGTTGCCAGCTAAGCACATACAACATCTGTTTAGGACAAGTTCCCCGATGGCAGGATACCCAGCTTTCTCCTGCTTTCTCAGTTATAGTTCTCAAAATAATCAGAGAACATGCTGGGGATACCACTGCTATAGTTTGGATGTTTGACCCCGCCAAACCTCACGTTGACACTTATCTCGCAGTGTGGGAGGCTGGGCCTATTGAGAGACGTTCCAGTTATGGGGGTGGATCCATCATGAATACATTAATGCTGTCCCCATGAGACGTGGTTGGCAAGTTCTCCATGAGGTCCCTAGGACTGGTTGCTAAAAAGAGCATGGGGTTTCTCCATGTTGGCCAGGCTGGTCTCAAACTCCTGACCTCAAGTGATCCAAACGCCTTGGCCTCCCAAAGTGTTGGGTTACAGGCGTAAGCTCCCATTCACAGACTTGTATATTATGCTATAATAAGTCCCTTCATTTGCACCACCCCTCATCTATCTATCAATCACTCCTCTGCCAGATATTGATTTACATGTAGGAAAAATAAATCTCAGAAAGAAATTAATATATTCAAAATTAAATAAGTAGGCATTATCAAATCCAGCAAGCCCTCCCTACAAATGATTCTACCTCACAGACATATCTTATACCCATCTACTTCATTCATTTAGTGTCTAAATCAGCACCACATTTCACCAGTGGGGCGGGAATTGCCTTTTCCACGGTCTCCTAGATTCCAGTTACGCACTTGGGCGTCCTTATTTTCATGTCAGTCATATTAATCATGTAGGGATTCCTGGCTACCCCGAGGTGAATCCAATGGCTGTGAGTGTCAAACACACGCTCCTTGTTCCTCCTTAGTTTCCTGTGTACCCAGAGTGCTCTCCGTCTCTCCACAGTCGTCTTGTCATTCTCCCCACGTCATTCCCAGCATTTGAATGCAGAGCCTCTTCCTTCCACATCAGATTGTTTTCACATTTGTGCCTTCACGGCTGACAGCTGTGTGTGGAAAATCCTTCCGCCAATCTTCCAGGGGTTGAATCTACTTTTTTTTTTCATTATGGTCACAAATATTATCTGATTAGTGAGACTTTCTCTGTCTCCTGAAATTATACACTTAGAATTCTTTATTATTTATTTTAAATTTCGGCTGGGCGCAGTGTCTCACACCTTGAGTCCCAGCATTTTGGGATGCTGAGACGGTCGGATCACTTGAGGTTGGGAGTTGGAGACAATCTGCGCAACATGGTGAAACTCCATCTCTACTAAAAAATGTAAAAGAATATTAGCTGGGTGTGGTGGAGGGGACTGGAATCACAACTAGTCAGGAGGCTGAGGCAGGAGAATCGCCTGAACCCGGGAGGCGGAGGTTGTGGTGAGCTGAGGTCATGCCACTGCACTCCAGCCCGGGGACAGAGAATGACTTCGCCGCAAATAAATAAATACATAAATAGATAAATAGATAAATAAATAGGTAAATAGATTTCATGCACGGATGCTTCCCAATGGATCAATCATTACTGGTCCACTTGTGCATTCATATTCTGCCCTCCCATTTGCCCATCTGCAATGTCAGTGTCCTAAGAGCAGAGGCCAAATGCATCGTGTTTACCATTTGTGGAAGGCAGGAGAATGCTGGCCCACCCCCAAAATGTCCCTGTCCTAGCCTCCATAGCTTGTGAATATGTTATTTTACATGAAAGGAGGAATAAAGATTGCAGATGGAATTATGGTTGCTAATCAGCTGAACTTAAAAAGAGGTTATCTTGGGTGATTTTAGGGAGATTGTGATGGATTATCTTGGTAAACTCAATAGAATCCCAAAGTCTTTAAAAGAGGAAGAAAAAGTCAGAGCAACACTTAGAGAAAGAGGTGAGGTAAGGAAGAGGGATCTGAGTGATGCCACGTGAGAGATGTGATGAGCTTTTGTGGGCTTCGAGGAAGGAGGATGGGGACCAGATGCCAAGGAACGTGGGAACCTCTGGGAGCTGGGAAATGTGAAAAGCCGATTCTCGCCTGGAACCTTCAGAGAAAAGGCAGCCTCGCAGTCACCTTGATTTTAGCCCAGTGAAATGCATTTCATATTTCTGAGCTATAACACTGTAAGATAATTTTAAAAGCTGTGTTGTTGTCATCCATGAAGTTTGTGGAGATTTATTATGGCAACAGCAGGAAAGGGTTCCACACTGTACAGTCAGAGCACAGGGCAGTGGCTGAATAAGTGAGTAAGTGGAAGTGTCATATTTGTGGATGAACTACGTTCCTTCTTACTGCAAGGCTCTTGCTCTGCTGACTCAGCCAAGGTCGCATCATGACCAACAGGGGCTCATTCCTTGGCAAGTGGAACTTCTCTAAATCACCTTTCCCTCATCAGATGTTCCCTTCCCCTCCCTCTCTCAAGTCCCCTCAAATTTATCCTCCAATTTGGAATGCAGGCAGAAAAAACACCACTTTATCCCTGAGAAGGATGTCAGATTTGTACTCGTCCGTCTAGCTTGGAGGAGGTCTCAGCTGCAGAAATTTGAAATGAAGAGACTTCACTGAGCCCTTTGCTGTCCTCAGATACCCTTCGCTGTTGTAGTGTCTGGGGGTCAGAGATGTTAGAAGACAGGCCCACAATCACAGAGCTGGGAGGTGCTGAGCCAATGCTTGAATCCAAGATACCAACCTCCCCAGGTTTCCAAAAGCAGAGATAAGAGGGATCTTTACTCACCAGTTTTGGAGCTTGGTTCAGTGGGTGAAGATGAACTACTTGAAGAGTTTCCTAGAACACAGGACAGGAGAGAGGTGAGGAAATGAGGATGCCTGTCTTCTACTCAAAGGAAATCTTTGAGGTTGGTTCATGGCCAACACTCTGTTATCTAATGTTGGGCCCTAGGAGTCCTGGCGTCCCCTTCTCCATCATCATTGTTAAATGATGCCCAGTGTCCTGAGATTTCGAGGTATAAAGACAAAACAGGTGCTGGAGGCCTCACACTCCCTGACTTAAAAATATGTTACAAAGCTGTAGTAAGCACAACAGCATGACATTGGCATAAAGGCCCTTAGAGCAATGGAGCAGAATGAAGAACACAGATATAATTCATGCATTCACATCCAATGGACTTTGACGATTGTACGTGCCAAGAACCTGCAATCAGGAAACGACGGTCTTTTCAATAAATGGAGCAGGGAAAACTGGTATCTACATGCAGTTGATGAAACTGCACCTCTACCTCTCACCATACACAGAAATCAAATGAAAATGGAAGAAACACTTAAGGCCTGAAACCATTAAGCGTCTAAAAGGAAAGAGTGGGGAAATGCTCCAGGACATTTGTCTGAGGAAAGACATTTTATTTGAAATCTCAAAAACACAAGAAATCAAAACAAAATAATAGACCTTCGGGATTACATCAAAGTAAGCAGCTTCTGCACCGCAAAGGAAGCAACCAACAAAGTGAAGAAGAGACAAATTGGGAGAAAATATTTGTGAAGTATGCATCTGAGAGGGGATTAATAACTAGAATATACATAAAACTCAAGCAACGGTATAAAACAATGAATTTAATTTAACAATTAGTAAAAGACCTGAACAGACATTTCTCAACAAACAAAACGTACAAATGGCGAACATGTACATGAAAAAGTGCTCAGTATCACTAATCATGCCAATTGAAATCACAGTGAGCTATCATCTCATCCCATTAAAGTGGCTTTTATCTGAAACACAGACAAAATAAATGCTGGCAAGGTGGTAGAGAAAGGAGAACCCTGGTACCCTGTTGATAGGATCTAGCAATTCCACTACTGGGTGTAAACCCAAAGGGAAGGACATCAGTGTATCGAAGTGATATCTGCACTCATACGATTGGTGCAGCACTGTTCACAGTAGCCAAGATGTGGAGTCAACTTACCTGCCCGTCAGTGGGTGAATGGATAGAGAGAATGTAGTACACACACACAGTGGAGAGTACTCATCCGTAGAAAGAATAACATCCTGACATTTGCAGCCACATGGATGGAACTGGAGGTCATTGCAAAGATTCCCATTTCTCACCCATATACAGGAGCTAAAAGGTGGATCTCATGAAGGTAGAGAGTAGAATGGTGGCTACCAGAGGGCAGGAAGTAAAGGGTGGAGTGTAACAACAACAATAAAAAAGAATATAGATGTATTTATTTATTTAGAGACAGAATCTCTCTCTGTCTCCCAGGCTGCAGTGCAGTGGCCTGATCTCAGCTCAGTGCAACCTCTGCCTCCTGGGCTTACGTACTTCTCCTGCCTCAGCCTCCCATGTAGCTAGGAATACAGGTGCATGCCAGCATGCCCAGCCAATTTTTCTTGTCTGTTTAGTAAAGATGAATTTCCCTCATGTTGGCCAGGCTGATCTCGAGCCTCTGATCTTAAATGATCCACCTTCCTTGGCCTCTCAAAGCACCGAGATTATAACTGTGAGCCACTGCACCCTGCATATAAAGGAATTTATGACCACTAGATTTTACTTTTAAAAATGGTAAAGGTGGCAAATTATATAGTTACATTTAACCTAAATAAATGTTTTTTCAAACGGAAAGAAAAGGGTGTAGGGGTTGCTGGTGATGACATCTCTGTGTGGGTGAGAGGCCAGTATGGGCTTCTGGGAAATGGGTAAGGTTTAGGGTCTGAGGGAGCCTCTGATCTCCCCAAACTGAGCCGAGTCTCGCTCCTCTGGGTCTGTCCTGACCACTTTCTCCATCTGCCTGGGTGCCTGGAGCCCTGGCCGCGGGCCTCCATGCAGGCCGTGCAGGAGGGTTTGGAGGTGCCCTGTCTGCCATCCTGTGCCCTGATCCCTCCCTCACACCATGCTGCGTGTTCTCTCTGCATCTGTCCATGCTTCTCTCCATCATCAGCAGGAAGCTCCTCAGCTAAGGCTCTAGGATCACAGGACATGGGACAGGCATGGGCTTTCCTCACCTGTGACAGAAACAAGCAGTGGGTCACTCGGGTCTGACCACTCATAGGGTGAGTCATGGAGAGAGCCGAAGCATGTGTAGGTCCCTCCGTGGGTGGCAGGGCCCAGAGGAAAGTCAGCCTGGAATGTTCCATTGACGCTGGGCACTGCAGGGAGCCTAGGTTCATGGGCCCTCCCCTCCCTGGATAGATGGTACATGTCAAATGAGCTCCTGGAGCTGCAGGACAAGGTCACGTTCTCTCCTGTGCGAACCGTGGGGCCCGGCTGGGCTGAGAGTGAAGGTTTCCCAAATAGACCTGGAAGAAGAGGTAGTTTCCTCAGGGAGGTTCTTCCTTGTCACAGCTCCCCTCACACCTGAGCTGAGAACTCACTCCCCTGCTCTATGACCTAATGCTCTCTCTCTCTCTCACCCTCCACCCCCGACTCTCCCTGTGGATCCCTCCCTATGCGGCTCCAGCCTGGTGGTGGCATCAGCAGTGCACCCTTGCTGACCTTAGGGTAGCCAACCCTCTTGTTTGGTTTTTTAACTTGTCCTTGACCTGGATTCCTGTGTTGTTTCCTGTTGTTGCTGCAGAAAATTATCACAAACACGGCGGCGGGAGAGAACACTTCTGTTGACAGAAATCAGACCCTGTTCTTCCTGGGCTACAATCAAGGCATCTGCAGGGCTGCATTCCCTCTGGAGACTCGGGAGAATCAGTTCCATTGACTTCTCCAGCCCCTAAAGGCCACCTGCATTCCGTAGCTTCTGGCCTTCCTCCACTTTCAAAGCCCGCAGTGGCTGGTGGACTCTCCCTCCCACTACGCTGCTCTAATCCCCACTCTCCTCTTCCTCCTCCTCTCATGTGGACCCTTGTGATTACACTGAGCCCAGTGGGAGAGTCCAGGTCGTCTCCCCATCTCAAGGTCAACTCATCAACAACCTGAACTCCATCTTCCCCTTCAGTCCCATGTCCTATAACATAAATAGTCACAGGCTCCAAGGATTACAATATAGCCATGCTGCCGACAGTTACTCTTTCCACCACAGCACCCATTCCCCTGTATTCAATCCCCATTGACACCAAATACAGTCAGGGCCTGGATGATTGGACCCTGGTGGACACCCCCACCAGATGCTCTGGGATTCAGGAAGTGGGAGAAGGAGAAGCCCAGACATGAGTCCTCTGACCTGTGACCACGATCACCAGGGGGTTGCTGGGTGCTGACCACTCAATGGGGGAGCGTGGGTGTGAACCCCGACATCTGTAGGTCCCTGCGTGTGCAGGGGTCACAGGGCCCATGAGGATGCTCTTCCAGAATATTTTGTTGTAGAGCTCAGGGACAGGCACCCCATCTTCTTTGTACAGACTGAAGATGGTAAACCCAAGACGAGAGCGACACAGAAGAGTCACATGTCCTCCTCGAGGCACCACAGTGCTGGGCCAGGCAGACAGCAAGGGCTTGTCCTGACCACCTGGGGGAGAAGGAGGCGCCACCTTAGAAAGGAGGATGTGGAGCCGCCCCTCCCTGCCAGTGCTCAGAAGATTCTCCCCACTTTCCTCGTTTCTAAGGCTCCTACCACACTTGGGTGCCCATGGCTACGGGAAGGACCCACCCCGCATAGACTTGGCGTCTCTCTACAACAAAAGTGTCAGCTGAGAACTTTGAGCAAGTGCTGAGTAAGGGACTCCTACTAGATTTTAATCCTGCAAGATTACTCACATAAAACAACACAAATAGACATGGAGTCGAGGGCATGTTCTTTGTGAATGGAATATCAGCCAATGTGTGAACCACAATACACAACTGAGCCCCCAACAGAGGATTTGGAAGGTCAGGGCCCTGGCTGGGGTTCCCCCACCTCTGAGGTAGAATGACAGCAGCCACACTGCAGCCCCTACCGTCATGGAAACGCTGGAGGGTGTGAGTTACACCTTTGTCCTCAGAGGCCTGCTGTTCCTAGCACTGCTTTGCTCCCTTCCTCTGCCAGTGACACCACATCCCAGTCGCACAGCCCAGCTTGGAGGACCCCAGTCTACCCTCCCGGGTTCCCACAGAACCTGACTCAGCCAAGGGAAAGGAAGGCTGGGGAGGGCAAGGTCGGAACTGTGGGCTGAGCACCCCAGGGTCTCCTCATCCTTGTTTATAAGAAAATCCCCCACCGGGCTTCCCTCCTGTTTCAGGAAAATCCTCTTATGTGGGGAGATGACACCCGAAGGTTTGGAGAAGGACTCACCCTCATGTGTCCAGGCCCCCTGCAGCAAGAAGAACCCTGGAAAGAAAGATCATGATGGACCATCCATCTGCAGGCAAACCAGGACTCCCTTGCTGCCCCCACTGGGCTGTGAGTCTTGGTAGCCAGGCCCTTGCTGGGCTGAAGGGAAACTCACCCTCAGTGCCAGCCTGCACCCAAGAACAGGGCTGTCGGCTGTGTAGAGACCCAGCCTGCAGGCCCATATCCGCACCCCAGGCCCCTATCCCCACCCCAAGCCCATATCTCCACTCCAGGCCCATATCTCCACTCCAGGCCAATATTTCCACCCTAGACCCATATCTCCAATCCAGGCCCATATCTCCACCCCAAGCCCATATCTCCACACCCAGGCCCATATCTCCATCCTAGGCCCATATGTCCACTCCAGGCCCAGATATCCACCTCTAGGCCCATGTCTCCACCTCCAGGCCCATATCTCCACCTCCAGGCCCATGTCTCCACTCCAGGCCCATATCTCCATCCCAGGCCAATATCTTCACTCCAGGCTCATATCTCCCCTCCAGGTTCCTATCTCCACTCCAGGCCCAGATCTCCACTCCAGGCCCATATCTCCACCTCCAGGCCCATATCTCCACTCCAGACCCAGATCTCCACTTCTAGGCCCATCACTCCATCTCCAGGCCCATATATCCACTCCAGGCCCAGATCTCCACTCCAGGCCCATAACTCCACCTCCAGGCCTATATCTCCACCTCTGGGCCCAGATCTCCATCCCCGCGCTCCCTCCCTCTATTCCTTTCCAGGACTCACCAACACACGCCATGCTGACGACCATGAGCGACATGGTGCTGCCGGTGCAGACAGGCAGCCGCGCCCCAGCTCAGCTCAGCAGCGCACAGGATGTTATTTGGCGCCCTGCCCATGCAGCTTACATGTTGACTACATCATGGGAGGGTGACGTACGCAGGCTCTTTCTACCTTGCATGAGGCCCAGTGGATGCTTGCTCAAGAGCGGAACACGGCTTCCTGGAAATTGTTCTCACTAGAATTGGCACCTCACGTCCTTCACTATGACCAACTCACAACACGTCTCAGATCCAACCTCCCGAACACAAGATGCCTAAAATCTGTGCTAACGTGAAAGACTTTTCATGTATTTTTATCCGAACACGAGATGCCTAAAATCTGTGCTAACATGAAAGACTTTTCATGTATTTTTTTTGTTTTTATCTG
Source organism: Homo sapiens (assembly GCF_000001405.40). NCBI lineage: Eukaryota > Metazoa > Chordata > Mammalia > Primates > Hominidae > Homo > Homo sapiens. Next base: position 132,708 of record NT_187668.1, read on the forward strand.
AGATTCAAACTCTTCTTCCTGTGTAATATGCAAAGTATCTAATAGGTATTATTAATGTTTTCGGAGTCATTGTGACTAATAAACCATTAGAATTTTTCATGCTTGTATTTCTAGTATTACAGCAGAACCAGCTAAAATGATTTAAATTCCCAGGGAAGGATTATGCAATTATTTACAATCTTAGAATTGTACTTTATCAGCAAAAACCACACCTGTAAATTCTGGAGTTTTGTAGTTTAATCTAAAATTTGTCTCATGACCCAAGATTCCAGAGTCCCAACTCTGGAGTTTGCTCTCTGTCTGTCTCTCTCCCTCCCTCGTTTTAAATTTTACAGAAATATCCAGTAACATAATGCTATAGAAAATCAAGTTTTCCCCAGCACGTTGGGAAGCCGAGGTGGGCGGATCAACTGAGATAAGGAGTTTGAGAGCAGCTTGGCCAATATAGTGAAACCGTGTCTCTGTTAAAAATCCAAAAATTAGCCGTGCCTGGTGGCAGGCACCTGTAACGCCAGCTGCTCAAGAGGCTGAGGCACGAGAATCGCTTGAACCTGGGAGGCGGAGGTTGCAGTGAGCTGAGATTGTGTCACTGCAGTCCAGCCTGGGCGACAGAGCAAGACTCCGCCTCAAGAAAAAAAAAGCAAACAGCCTATAATAACAAATTAGAGGGCTCTGGCTACTAAATTTAAAGGGTTCTATAAGGCTACATAAAGTGCAGCATCATCAAGAGTGTGGACACAGAGAGCCCCTTAGCAGAAACAGTGTCTAAAATACATCCATGTACACACAGTCCCTTTAGAGTTGACAAAGGCTGCCGTGTGGTTTAAGGTGGCATAGAATGTCTTCTCAATAAATAATATTAAACCAATTGGTTACACCTAGGAAAAAATAAATCTAACTCACACTATAAAAACACTTCTTAGTTTTTATCTAGTTGTACATTTTTTATGATTTATATTTAAATTTGAGAAATAAAAGTCATATACGGTCATCCTTCACTATTCGTGGGTGATTGGTTTTGAGATCTCCACTCAGATACCAAAATCTGTAGATGCTCAAGCCTCTTATATGAAATGGCACAGAGTTTGCAAATAACCTATGCACATCCTCCTGTATACATGAAATCATCTCTAGATTACTTATAATTCCTGATACAGCCTACACACAGCTTCATTTGTGTCCATTCAACATAGTTATGCTTTTTGAAACTCTGTGGATACTTTCTCTCAATATTTTTGATTTATACTTGGTTCAATAAACACCTGTAAACCCCGCAGATATGGAGGAGTGACCGTATATTTATATTATGAAAGATGATGTGTTGATATGTGTCCCCATGGAGATGAGACTAACAAGGCCTATGATTCTACAAATGTTTCATTGTGGAATGACTCTGCCAGCTTTCCAGGTCTGCAGAGAGTAAGAGTATCACTTGTTCATATGATTCGTGATCCTTGGAACCTCCTATGTGCTACATCTTTGGATGGAAATTGGAGTCTCAGAGACAAATGAGGCTCCACCCTGCTTCCAGAAACTCAGAGTCCGGGGATGAGAACTCAGTGGGGAACAGATGGGATTATATGGACATGGTACTGATAACACCGGAAGCCTTAGGCAAGAAAAGAGTCCCATTACCGAAACCATGGGGGCAGACATGTTTATTTGAAGGATGGAAAACTACATTGAAGTTATTTTAAAAAATATATAAGTTTTACTGCTGACAGAAGACTGAAAGCTAGTCTGAGGGGAGGTGGAACAGCATGAGGGAAGGTGGAACAACACGTGTCTAAGTGCTGCGTTAAGAGGGAGCCTCTTGTATGTTTGGAATTGTGAGTTCCTCAGTGTGATTGCAGCCTCAAGTAGACTAGGAAGTAAGCCAGTTAGGTTGGAGAGGTGGGCAGGGGTCAAGTGAAATGGAGAACTGTGGGCTAAGCAAAGGAGTGTGTTTTTTCTCCAGCAGGCAGTGGGGACCTTAGACATTTGTAAGCAAGTGAGAGGCACATTCAGATTTGTGGTGTGAGGAAGAGCGATGCCCTAAGATGCAGACTCATGCCTTCAGATTCCAGCTGCTGGTACATGGGAGCTGGCAACCCGGTTTTGAGACAGAGCTGTTGTCTCCCTAGAAGACGCCCTCAAGGCCTGACTGTGGTGCTCATGGGCAGGAGACAACTTTGGATCTGGACTCAGCATTTGGAAGTTCCGCGTACACGATGATATCTGTTGGGGGTGTCTTGGGCCTCTGAGAAGGGCGAGTGATTTTTCTCTGTGTGAAAACGCAGTGATTCAACTGTGTGTATGTCACCTCCTGAGGGTCTTGTTCATCAGAGTCCTGGAGAGAGGGAAATGCTGAGTGAGGGAGGGTGCTCACATTTTCCAGGACTCTTTGGGAATAACAGTAGCCACGAGCCCGGGCCGAGGAGTACCTACCTCGCTATTCGCTGTTCTGTTCCCTGCAGACTCTTGGTCCATTACCGCAGCATCTGTAGGAGACGGAAGTCAACAAAACAGCTCGGAGGGCACTTCTGGGTCCTCATTTCATAAGCAGATACCAACATACAGGGGGAGACCATAGGTGGCTGAGGTCCCTCAGTTGCCAACAGCAGACTCAGACATTCTATCTCTCTGAGCTCAAGGACCCATCCCATGAATAGCTCTGAGTTCCCATCCCATTGATTCTGTCTCCCACTTTCTGCCTGTCATGGAACCTTCTCCTGGATGTGAGTGGCTGCAGGGGACATGAGGATACAGTTCAGAATCAGGCAACGGTCTGTGAGTTGAAGGCAGGGGCAGGGAGTCTGGTGCCCTCTCTAGAAAGTCCTGCCTCTGTGGCTGCTGCCTTGGGCCAGGGACCATCCTGTTTGTGAGGAACACACACCTGAGTGCTCCCATCCTGCTTCCCCACATGGCCCTGAGCTCTCTGGCCTCTGCTTCGTGAGACTTACTTTTTTTGTTGGAGCACCAGCGATGAAGGAGAAAGAAGAGGAGGATGAAGAGGATGATGACCACTGAGGTCCCAATCAGAATGTGCAGGTGTCGGGGGTTACCTGGAAGAAGATGAGACACCAATAAGAAGCTAATCTTAGCAGTTCCTCTTTATGAATTGTCTCGCATTTCTTGATTGACAGGTAACCACATAAAACATCTCTTTAGGACAAGCACCCAGATGGCGGGAGACCCAGCTTTCTCCTGCTTTTTCAGTTATAGCTCTCATAGTAACCATAGAACGTGCTGAGGATACGACTACTTTAGTTGAGATGTTTGACCCCTTCAAACCTCACATTGAAATTTCACCCCCACTGTGGGAGGTTGGGCCTCTTGAGAGGTGTTTGGGTCATGGAGGTGGATCCATCATGAACACATCAATGCTGTCCCAAGGAGACGGGGTTAGCAAGTTCCCCCTCTATTAGTTCCCGGAGAGCTGGTTGTTAAAAAGAGCTTGGAAGCTCCATCACTCCCCCTCCCCCTTGCTCCCTCTCTTGCCGTGTGATCTCTGTGGTCTCTGCACAGACAGACCCTCCTTCCCTTCTGCCAGAGTGGGAGCAGCCTGAGGCCGTCACGAGAAATAGATGCTGGTGCCATGCTTCCAGTACAGCCTGCAGAACGGTGAGGCAAACCAATCTCTTTTCTTTAGAAGTTACCGAGGCTCAAGTGTTCCTTTAGAGCAACAAAAATGGCCTAAGACAGCAACTTCCTGAGATCAGGAGGAACGTCTCAGAACACCCTGGGCTGTCTTCCTGTTCTTCCTGGAGGACGTCATGCAGTGCTTTAGCTGAGTGCTTCCTGTGGCTCCAGGGTACAAAACCCAGGCTGGGCTGCTTTCTGGCTTCCCGCAGCTACACTGCAAATGGGGTGACTCCATATGTCCCGAGGAGCTTTTCTGAGCCTTGAGGGACTGGCTCACATTGAAATATAGGTTTCTGTTGTCACTCGCTGCTTATCTGTTAGTAATGAACCTGCCTATGTAACGTATTCTCTGTGTGTTCTGTCTCCCTGGAGTGACGGTGAGTGATAGGAATTGGCATAGGCCCAGGTGCAGTCCAGGAGGTGTTTAGAGTCTTCTCTGGGAAGACTGGACTGGGATTGATTCACAGCGAATGTGCTTTAGGGTTTCTACATCCACAGCATTCTTGAATCAAACAACTTGCATTCTCCAAGGAAAGAAAACAAAAGTGAAATCAAGATAAAAAAAGCGAAATAGAATTCTCTTATGTCAAACGGCCAGGAAATAGTGTTGAAGCCCGTGTGAAACCTGCTGCTCTTTGTGATCTCGGGAGACACATATTAGGCTGCTGTTCTACCCGAGAGGCTGGGGGAAGGACCACCCCCTCGGCCATCTATTGCTTCAATACCACCTGTCCTCCTGTGAATTAGTAGGAAAGGGGAGCAGGAGCTAGTGCTGTCGCTGATCTCTGATTCCAAGATCTGGACTCACTCCAAGGAGTGTTAATGTTTACCTCCCCATGGTCTACCTGAATCTCCACAGGTGATTGGAAGTAGGGGTGAGGTGGGGGATTTGGGTGAGTGGGCAAGTTTTTTTTGTGATGACCAGAGCACTTTCTCTATTCCAGGATCTGTGCTGGAGGATTCAGCGGACTTTCACATTTTCTATATGATCTCATGCTCACAGAAAGCCAAATAGGGAAGAGGTTTTAGGCTCATTGCCTAATGGATAAGATAAAGGATCAAAGAAGTAATTACAGAGAAATAGAAAAATCATGATTGGAATTCAGGTCCCTTTGTCATTTGCGTGTGTTATATTATATTTATATTTATGCATTTCTTATTTTTATTTTTTGAGACGGAGTCTCCTTGTGCCACCCAGGCTGGAGTGCAGTGATGCAACCTCCACTCACTGCAACCTCCACCTCCTGGGTTGAAGTCATTCTCCTGCTTCATCCTCCAGAGTAGGAGCTGGGATTACAGGGATGCACCACCATGCTCGGCTAATTTTTGTGTTTTTCCTAGAGACAGGGTTTCACCATGTTGGCCAGGCTGGTCTCGAACTGCTGACTTCATGTGATCCACCCGCCTTGGCCTCCTGCAGTGCTGGGTTACAGGCGTGAGCCACCGTTCACAGACTTGTATATTATGCTATAATAGGTCTCTTCATTTCCACCACCCCTCATATATCTGTCACTCCTTTGCCAGGTATTGATTTATGTGTAGGATGAATAAATCTCAGAAAGAAATTAATTAAGCGAGGATTAAACAAGTAGGAAAATCAAACCCAGCAAGCCTTTCCAGTCAATGATTCTACCTCACAAACCTATCTTATATCCATCTACTTCATTCATTTAGTGTCTAAATCAGCACCACATTTCACCAGTGGGGCGGCAATTGCCTTTTCCACGGTCTCCTAGATTCCAGTTATGCAACTGAGCCTCCCTTATTTTCATGTCAGTCATATTAATCATGTAGGGATTCCTGGCTACCCCGAGGTGAATCCAATGGCTGTGAGTGTCAAACACACACTCCTTGTTCCTCCTTAGTTTCCTGTGTACCCAGTGTGCTCTCCGTCTCTCCACAGTCATCTTGTCATTCTCCCCACATCATTCCCAGCATTTGAGGAAGAGCCTCTTCCTTCCACATCAGATTGTTTTCACCTTTGTGCCTTCACGGCTGACAGCTGTGTGTGCAAAATCCTTCCGCCAATCTTTCAGGGGTTCAATCCGTGTTTTTCATTAATGTCACAAATATCTGAATAGTGAGACCTTCTTTGTCACCTGAAATCATACACTCAGCATTATCTATTATTGATTTTGAATTCTGGCTGGGCACAGTGGCTCACGCCTGTAGTCCCATTACTTTGGCATGCTGAGACGGTCGGATCACTTGAGGTTGGGAGTTTCAGACAAGCTTGGCCAACGTGGTGAAACATCCTCTCTACAAAAAATATACAAAAAGAATTAGCCGGGCACGGTGGCAGTTGCCTGTAATCCCAGCTACTCGAGAGGCGGAGGCAGGAGAATCACTTGAATCCAGGAGAAGCAGGTTGCAGTGAGCCAAGATCGTGACACTGCACTGTAGCCTGGAAGACAGAGGGCAACTCTGTCTCAATAAACAAAAGAACAAACAAAAAATAGATTTCATGCACAGATGCTTCCCAATGGATCATTCATTTATAGATCCACTTGTGCATTCATTTTCTGCCCTCCCATTTAACCATCTGCAATATCAGTGTCCCAAGGGCAGAGGCCAAATGCATCTTGTTCACTGTTTGTGGAAGGCAGGAGAATGCTGTCCCACCCCAAAATGTCCCTGTCCTAGCCTCCATACCTTGTGAATATGTTATTTTACATGGAAAGGAGGAATGAAGATTGTAGATGGAATTACGGTTGCTAATCAGCTGAACTTAAAACAAGGGTATCCTGGATGATTTCCAGGAGATTATGAGGGATTTTCATCTTGGTGAACCCAATAGAATCCCCAAGTTTTCAAAAGATAAGGAAGAAGGGAGAGCAGCATTCAGAGAAAGAGGTGTGGTAAGGAAGAAGGCACTGAGTGATGCCATGTGAGATGTGACCAGTCTTTGTGGGTTTTGAGGAAGGAGGAAGGGGACCAGGAGCCAAGGAACTGGGAGCCTTTAGAAGCTGGGACAAGTGAGAAGCAGATTCTTGCCTGGAATCCTCAGAGGGAAGGCAGCCTTGCTGTCACCTTGATTTTAGCCCAGTAAGATGCACTTCCTACTTTGAGCTACAGCACTGTAAGATAATTAAAAAACCGTTTTGTTTTCACCCACGAATCTTGTGGAAATTTGTTATGGCAACAATAGGAAAAGGTTCCGCACTGCACAGCCTGAGCATGGGGCCGTGGCTGAATGAGTCAGTGAGTCGAAGTGTGCGTGCATGAGCTCCGTTCTCTGTTACGGCAAGGCTGTTGCTCTGCTGAGTCAGCCAGGGTTGCTTCATGACCAACAGTAATTCATTCCTTGGCAAGTGGAACTTCTCTAAAACACCTCGCCCTCATCAGATGTTCCCTTCCCTTCCCTCTCTCAAGCCCCCAGGAATTTATCCTCCAGTTAGGAATGCAGGCAGAACAAACATTGCATTTTTCCTGAGAAGGATGTCAGATTGGCAATCATTCTTCTAGCTTGTAGGAGGTCTCAGCTCCATAAAATGAGAGATTAAGAGATTTCACTGAGCCCTAGGTTGGGCCCAGATCCCTTTCGCTGTTGGAGTATCTGGAGTTCGGAGATGGTAGAAGACAGGCGTACAATGTCAGAGCTGCGAGATGCTGAGTCAATGCCTGCATCGAAGGTTTCTACCTCCCCAGGTTTCCAAAAGCGGATATAAGAGGGTTCTGTACTCACCGGTTTTAGAGCTTGGTTCAGTGGGTGAAGGCCAACTATTTGAAGGGTTTCCTAGAACATGAGACAGGAGAGAGGTGAGGAAATGAGGGTGTCTGTCCTCTACTCAATGGAAATCTTTGAGGTTGGTTCATGGCCAACACTCTGTTATCTAATATTGGGCCCTGGGAGTCCTGGGATCCTTTTTTCCATAATTTTTGTATGTGACGCCCATTGTCTTGAGACTTCAAGGTATAAAGAGAAAACAGGAGCATCACACTACCTGATCTCAAAATATGTTACAGAGCTGTAGTAAGCAAGACAGCATGATGTTGGCATGAAGAAAGGCACATAGAACAATGGAGCAGAATGAACAACACAAATATAATCCATGCATTTACATCCAATGTTTTTTTCTTTTTTCTTTTGAGATGGAGTCTCGCTCTGTCACCCAGGCTGGAGTGCAGAGGTGCAATCTCGGTTCACTGCCACCACAGCCTCCTGGGTTCAATCAATTCTCTGGCCTCAAACTCCTGAGTAGTGGTATTATAGGTGCTGACCACCATGCTCAGCTAATTTATATATTTTTAGTGGAGACAATGTTTCATCACGTCGGCCAGACTAATCTTGAACTCCTGGCCTCAGGTGATCCACCCGCCTTGGGCTCCCAAAGTGCTGAAATTGCAGGTGTCAGTCACCATGCCCAGCCCATCCAATGGACTTTGACAAAGGTGCCAAGAACTCACAATCAGGAAAGGACAGTCTTTTCAATAAACAGTGCAGGGAAACCTGGACATCTACATGCAGAGGAATGAAACTGCACCTCTACCTGTCACCATACACAAAAATCAAATGAAAATGGATTAAAGATGTGAGTCTAAGGCCTGAACCTATGAAACACGTAGAAGAAAATATTGGGGAAATGCTCCAGGACATTTGTCTGAAGGAAGACATTTTGTTTTAAACCTTCAAAACACAAGTAATCGAAGCAAAAATAGACCATTGGGATTACCTCAAGCTAAGCAACTTCTGCACCGCTAAAAATAAACCAACAAAGTGAAGAGACAACCCACAGATTGGGAGCAAATATGTGCAAACTATGCATCTGAGATGGGATTAATAACTAGAAATATAAGAAGCTCAAACAACTCAATAAAACAAATGATTTAATTGAAACAGGAGCAAAAGACATGAAATTTCCCCACATACGAAAAACTGCTCAGTATCACTCATCATCAGAGAAACGCAAATTAAAATCAAAGTGAGTTTTCATCTCACCCCATTAAAATGGCTTTTAGGCCGGGCGTGGTGGCTCACGTCTGTCATCCTAGATCTTTGAGAGCCTGAGGTGGGTGAATCTCATAAGGTCGGGAGTTTGAGACCAGTCTGACCCACATGGAGAAACACTGTCTCTACTAAAAATACAAAAATTAGTCGGGCGTGGTGGCGTGTGCCTGTAATTCCAGCTACTCGGGAGGCTGAGGCAGGAGAATCGCTTGAACCTGGGAGGTGGAGGTTGTGGTGAGCCGAGATCGCACCACTGCACTCCAGCCTGGGTGACAAGAGCGAAACTCCATCTCAAAATAAAATGAAATAAAGTAAAATGGCTTTTAGCTGCAAGACAGGCAAAGGAAATCCTGCCAAAGTGGTAGAGAAAGGAGAACCCTAATACCCTGTTGGTAGGAGTGTAAATTAGTACAGCCTTTACGGAGAAAAGTGTGGAAGTCCTTTAAAGAACTAAAAAGAGGTTGGGTGAGGTGGATCATGCCTGTAATCCCGGCACTTTGGGAGACCGAGGCGGACACCTCAGTTGAGGTCATGAGTTTGAGAGCAGCCCAGCCAACATGGGGAAACCCCATCTATACTAAAAAAACCAAAAAGTAGCCAGGCATGGTGGCGTGCACCTGTAATCCCAGCTACTAGGGAGGCTGAGGTAGGAAAATCATTTGAACCCAGGAGGCAGAGGTTGCAATGAGCCAAGATGACATCACTTGTACTCCAGCCTGGGCACAGAGGGAAACTGTCTCAAAAACAAAAACAAAACAACAAACGAATAACTAAAAAGAGAACTTTCATAGTATCCAGCAATTTCACTACTGGGTTTATATCCAAAGGAAAGTAAATCAATATATCGAAGTGATATCTGCACTCGTATGATTGGTGCAGCACTGTTCACAGTAGCCAAGATGTGGAGTCAACCTACCTGCCCATCAGTGGATGAATGGATAGAGAGAATGTAGTACATACGCACAGTGGAGACTACTCATCCATAGAAAGAATAACATCCTGATATTTGCAGCCACATGGATGGAACTGCAAGTCATTACAAAGATTCCCATTTCTCACCCATATACAGAGCTAAAAGGTGGATCTCATGAAGGTAGAGAGTAGAATGGTGGCTTCCAGAGGCCAGGAAGAAAAGGGTGGAGGGTAAAAAAAAAAAAAAAAATATATATATATATATATATATATATATATATATATATATATATACACACATATATATATGTATATATATGTGTGTGTATATATATATACATACATATATATATATATATATTTATAAATGTATTTATGACCACTAGACTTTACACTTAAAAATGGTAAATGTGGCTGGGAGTGGTGGCTCATGCCTGTAATCCCAGCACTTTGGGAGGCAGATGCGGGTGGATCACGTGGTCAGGAGTTGGAGACCAGCTCGACCAACATGGTGAAACCACCTCTCTACTAAAAATACAAAAAGTAGCCTGGCGTGGTGGTGCGCGCCTGTAGCACCAGCTACTCAGGTGGCTGAGGCAGGAGAATCACTTGAACCCAGGAGGCGGAAGTTGCAGTGAGCTGAGATTGTGCCACTGCACTGCAGCATAGGGGACAGAGCTAGACTCTGCCTCAAAAAAAAAAAAAATGTTAAAGGTGGTAAGCTATATAGGTATATTTATCCTCAATAAATATTTCTTCAAACAAAAGTAAAGGGTGTAGGGGTTGCTGGTGATGACATCCCTGTGTGGGTGAGAGGCCAGGATGGGCTTCTGGGAAATGGGTAATGTTGAGGGGCTGAGGGAACCTCTGATCTTCCCAAACTGAGCCCAGTCTCCCTCCTCTGGGTCTCTCCTGACCGCTTTCTCCATCTGCCTGTGTGCCTGGAGCCCTGGCCGCGGGCCTTCATGCAGGCCGTGTAGGAGGGTTTGGAGGTGCCCTGTCTGCCATCCTGTGCCCTGATCCCTCCCTCACACCCAAGCTTCGTCTTCTCTCTGCATCTGTCCATGCTTATCTCCATCATCAGCAGGAAGCTCCTCAGCTAAGGCTCTAGGATCATAGGACATGAGACAGATATGGGGTTTCCTCACCTATGACAGAAACAAGCAGTGGGTCACTCGAGTTTGACCACTCGTATGGAGAGTCACGGAAAGAGCCGAAGCATCTGTAGGTTCCTCCGTGGGTGGCAGGGCCCAGAGGAAAGTCGGCCTGGAATGTTCCGTTGACCTTGGGCCCTGCAGAGAACCTACATTCATGGGCCTCCCCCTCCCTGGATAGATGGTACATGTCATAGGAGCTCCGGGAGCTGCAGGACAAGGTCACGCTCTCTCCTGCCAGAACCGTGGGGCCCGGCTGGGCTGAGAGAGAAGGTTTCTCATATAGACCTGGAAGGAGAAGAGGCATTTTCCTCAGGGAGGATCTTCCTTGTCACAGCTCCCTTCACCTGAGCTGAGAACTCACTCCCCTGCTCTATGACCTAATGCTCTCTCTCTCTCTCTCTCACCCTCCACCCCATCTCTCTTCATATCTATTTCCTTCTTCCACCTTCTCTGTCTCTCTAGGTCTCTGACCTCGCTTCCCCACCTCTAGATATGTTTTCCGTTTTTGGATTGTTTTATTCTCTCTGACTCTCCTTGGGTTGGTTGACTTGATGTTACTTTTTTAAATTCTAAGTTTCTCACGTTGTGTCCTGTTCATAACTTTCTGCATATTTCTATCTATTATCTGTCGATCTATCTATTTATCTATTCGGTGCCTATCTACAAATTCTCTACCTGTCATCTATATCTATATATCATCTATGTATCTATCAGTTGTCTATCTATCCATCAATCATCTGTTATTTATATGTATGTATCATCTCTCTCTCTATGATTTCTGTCTGCCTCTCTATCTGTACGTATTATCTGTCTTCATCATCATCATCTCTATGTATTATCTATTAATGAATCAATCAATCATCATCTATGTATCTTTAACCTATTATCTATCATCTACCTATTTATCATCTATCTATATCTATCCATCTATCATCTGTATTGCTCTGCCTCTCGGTCTCTCTAGCTCTCTTTGGAATCTCTGCAATTCATCCCCACATCTCCATGTTTCTATGTCCTTGTGCCTCTCTCTCAGGACTCTAATTTTAGTGCTTTTCTCTGCTCCCTGCCATCATTCTCACCACTCCTCTGCCCTCTTTTCTCTCTCTTTATGTGTCTGTGAGTCTCTCAATCTCCTTCCTCTGGCTCATTCTCCGTGTGTTTATGTCTTTGCTTTTTGGTGTTCCTGATTTTTCTCTGTGCCTCTCAGTGATCCTTTCATATGTGGGGTTATTTGGAATGTGAGCCTCAGAATCCAGTCTGGAGACCACAAGTTCACACAGCATACAGGGGTTGGTGTTCTGGGGCCATGATATCCTGGGACGGTTACTCTCCATTACATGGAAGGCAGAGGTGTCAGAATAAACATGGCCTGTAGGTGCCACAAGGCCTGAGGCCACAGGGCCCAACTCAGGTCAGAAATATGGGTGTCCTTGGGTTCTCCTGGTAGAGAACACTTTGTGGAGGTAAAACAGAAATGAAACTTCTAACCTGTGCCAGGTCTGTGAGCAAAGTCAGCATGGAGGGACACCTCTCTCTGGGACATGTCTGTCTGTCTGTCTCTTTTAACTCTTTCTGTCTTTTCTAACTCCCTGTATGGCCCCTGTGTCTGTCCTCCGTTATGACACCTGGTCTGTACTTGTGTCTCCTGTTTCTCTGTCTCTGTTGGTACAAACCTCAGCAAGTCAGTCTCTCTCCATAAGAATACCAAGCTCATCTTCCTTACAACTACCTGGGGGTTCCAAGTCGTGGATCATTCACTCTGCAGCCCAATGACAATGAGAATGTCCGGACACTCTCACCTGTGATGACGATGTCCAGAGGGTCACTGGGAGCTGACAACTGATAGGGGGAGTGAGTAACAGAACCGTAGCATCTGTAGGTCCCTGCAAGGTCTTGCATCATGGGACCGATGGAGAAGTTGGCTTTGGAGACCCCATCATGGTGCTCTCCAATGAGGTGCAAAGTGTCCTTAAACTTCCCTTCTCTGTGCAGAAGGAAGTGCTCAAACCTGACATCTGACCAACATTGCAGGATGACTGTCTCTTCTGATTTCACCAGGCGACCTGGGTGGGCCAGGAGGGAAGGTTTTCTGTGGACTCCTAGGAAGAGAGGTTGTGAGTTTAGAAGGTGTCTCTCTTTATCATCCCATCCATGGCACCTAGAATGAGTGAGGCTTCCCCTTGCTGGTGTCTGTCTCTCTCCTTCCTCTCTGTGTCTTCATGTTCTTTTCTGTGCCCTTAACTCCTGGTGCAGGTCCTTCCATCTGTCTCCCTCCCTCTTCTCTGTCCCTCTGTCTCTAGTAGCCTCTGATTCCCTTCCCACTGGGCTTAGCCTCATCTCTTGGGGTGTTGTATCTATTTCACACTAATGTCTTTCCTGCTGTTTATGTGGGGGTGAAAGAGGAACCAGGATAGGCTGCACATCCAGGCTCTTATCAGCCTGGTTCAATCTCTTTTGGATGAATTGCAATCCTTGGCAGAAGATATGAACTGATGAATAAGGCAGGCACCAGTGTCCACACACCCTGTTCCTGGTGGGGACTGGGAGCCACTCTTGCCATGCCTGTGCCTTCTCCATGGTGCCAGCTTCCATAGGCTGGCTCCTGGTGCTGGTTGGAGGAGTATCAACCCCTCCCTATGTGGATGGAGCCTGGTGGTGGCATCATCATCCCACCCTTGCTGATCTCAGGGTAGCCAACCTTCTCCTTCTTTGGTTTCTTTAATTAATTAATTAATTTTGGAGACAGAGTCTCACTCCTTCACCCAGGCTGGAGTGAAGTGGTGTGGTCTAGGCTCACTGCAACCTCTGTTTCCTGGGTTCAAGTGATTCTCCTGCCCTCAGCCTCCTGAGTCGCTAGGATTACATGCACCTGCCACCATGCCTGGCTTTCCTTGGGTTGTTTCTTAACTTGTCCTTGACCTGGGTTCCAGTGTTGGTTTCCTGTTGCTGCTGTACAAAATTATCAGAAGCATGGAAGCAGGAGAGACCACACTGACACCTTCCAGTACTGGAGACAGAAATTGGACCCTATTTTTCCTGGGCTAAAATCAAGGCATCTGCAGGGCTTTGTTCCCTCTGGAGACTCTGGAGAATCAGTTCCTTGACTTTTCCAGCCTCTATAGGCCACCTGCATTCATGGCTCTTGGCCTTCCTCCACCTTCAAAGCTGGTGAAGACTTCCACTGGACTGCTCTAATCCCCACTCCCCTCTTCCTCCTCCTTTCATGTGCACCCTTGTGATTACACTGAGCCCAGTGGGACAGTCCAGGCTGTCTCCCCATGAGCTCCATCTTCCCCTTCAGTCCCTTCCCCTATAACATACATAGTCACAGACTCCAGGGATTAGAATGTAGTCATCACTGGGGACAATTATTCTTCCCACCACAGCACCCATTTCCCTGTATTCAATCCCCCTTTACCACAAATACAGTCAGGGCCTGCGTGATGGGACCCTCAAGGACATGCCCACCAGAAGCTCTGGGATTCAGGAGGTGGGACAAGGAGAATCCAAGACAGGAGCCCTCTGACCTATGACCACGATCACCAGGGGGTTGCTGGGTGCTGACCACCCACTGGGGGAGTGTGTGTGTGAACCCCGACATCTGTATGTCCCTGTTGTGCGGGGGTCACAGGGCCCATGAAAAGGCTGTTCCAGAATATTCTGTTGTAGAGCTCAGGGACAGGCACCCCACCTTCCTTGTACAGACTGAAGTTGTTAAACCCAAGATAAGAGTGACACCGAAGAATGACATGTCCTAGAGGCACCACAAGGCTGGGCCAGGCAGACAGCAAGGGCTTGTCCTGACCACCTTGGGGAGAAGGAGGCGCCGCCTTAGAGAGGAGGATGTGGAACTGCCCCTCCCTCCCTGTGCTCAGAAGATTCTCCTCGCTTTCCACGTTTCTATGGCTACTATCACACCTTGGTGCCCAGGGCTGAAGGAAGGACCCATCCCGCAAAGACATGGTGTCTCCCTACAACAAAAGCCTCAGCTGAGAACTTTGAGCAAGTGCTGAGTAAAGAGACTCCTACTAGATTTTGATACTGTAAGATTACTCACATAAAACAACACAGGGTAGACATGAGGTGGAGGGCATGTCCTTTGTGAATGGATATCAGCGGATGCCTGAACGAAAATAAACAACTGAGCCCCCATCAGAGGATTTGGAATGTCAGGGCCATGGCTGTGGTTTCCCACCTCTTCTGGTAGAATGACAGCAGCCACACTGCAGCCCCTACCATCATGGAAACGCTGAAGTGTGTGAGTAACACCTTTGTCCTCAGAGGATCTGCTGTTCCTACCACTTCCCAACCACACACCCCAGCTTTGAGCACCCCAGTCTAACCCTGGTCCCCACAGAACTTGACTCTGCCAAGGGGTTGAGAGGCCAGGGAGGCGAGGTCAGAAATGTGGGCTGAGCACCCCAGGGTCCTCTCTTCCTAGTTTATGAGAGACTCCCCGACAGGACTTCCCTCCTGTTTCAGGAAAATCCTCTTATGTGGGGAGATGACACCCGAAGGTTTGGAGAAGGACTCACCCTCATGTGGCCAGGCCCCCTGCAGCAAGAAGAACCCTGGAAAGAAAGATCATGATGGACGATCCATCTGCAGGCGAACCAGCCCTCCCTTGCTGCCCCCACTGGGCTGTGAGTCTTGGCAGCCAGGCCCTTCCTGGGCTGAAGTTAAACTCACCCTCAGTGCCTACCTGCACCCAAGAACAGGGCTGTCGGCTGTGCAGAGACCCAGTTTCCAGGCCCATATCCCCACCCCAAGCCCATATCTCCACTCCAGGCTGATATTTCCACCCTAGGCCCATATCGCCAATCCAGGCTCAGATCTCCACCCTAGGCCCCTATCTCCAATCCAGTCCCATATCTCCGCCCCAGGCCCAGAACTCCACCCTAAGCCCATATCTCCACTCCAGGCCCATATCACCTCTCCAGTCCCATATCTCCACACCCAGGCCCATATCTCCTTCCTAGGCCCATATCTCCACTCCAGGCCCAGATATCCACCTCTAGGCCCATAACTCCACTCCTGGCCCATATCTCCACTCCAGGCCCATATCTCTACTGCAGGCCCGTATCTCCACCTCCAGACCCATATCTCCACTCCAGGCCCATATCTCCACCTCCAGGCCCATATCTCCACCTCCAGGCCCATATCTCCACTTCAGGCCCATATCTCCACTCCAGGCCCATATCTCCACTCCAGGCCCCTATCTCTACTGCAGGCCCATATCTCCATCTCCAGGCCCATATCTCCATCTCCAGGCCCATGTCTCCACTACAAGCCCATATCTCTACTGCAGGCCCATATCTCAACCTCCAGGCCCATATCTCCACTCCAGGCCCAGATCTCCACTTCTAGGCCCATCACTCCATCTCTAGGCCCATAACTCCACTTCCAGGCCTATATCTCCAACTCTGGGCCCCGATCTCCATCCCCGCACTCCCTCCCTCGATTCCCTTCCAGGACTCACCAACACACGCCATGCTGACGACCATGAGCGACATGGTGCTGTCTGTGCAGACAGGCGGCCGCGCCCCAGCTCAGCTCAGCAGCGCACAGGATGTTATTTGGCGCCCTGCCCATGCAGTTTACATGTTGACCACATCATGGGAGGGTGACGTACGCAGGCTCTTTCTACCTTGCATGAGGCCCAGTGGGTGCTCGCTCAAGAGCGGAACATGGCTTCCTGGAAATTGTTCTCACTAGAATTGACACCTTGCGTCCTTCACTACGACCAGACTCAAAAGACGTCTCAGATCCAACCTCTCATACACGAGATGATTGAATTCTGTGCTTACATTAAAGATTTTTGATGTATTTTTGTTTTTATCTGAGATTCAAACTCTTCTTCATATGTAATGTGCAAAATGTCTAACAGGTATTATTAACATTATCAGAGTAATTGTGACAAGAAGCCATTCTAATTTTCCTGCTTGAGTTTCTAGTACTAAACCAGAGGCATCAGAATAGCTTGAACCTGGGAGGCGGAGGTTGCAGTGAGCTGAGCTCAAGCCACTGAACTCCAGCTTGGGTGACAGAGGAAGAGTCTGTCTCAAGAAAAAAAAAAAAGCAAACTAAATAACCTATAATAACAAATCAGAGGACTCAGGTTACCAAATTTTAAGGGGTTCTATAAGTTTATATAAAATGCAGCATCCTCATGAGAGGGGATACAGAGAACCACTGGACAGAAAACTGTGTCTAAAATACATCTGTGGATACACAGTCCCTTTATAGTTGACAAAGGCTGCCATGTAGTTTAAGGTGGAATAGAATATTTTCTCAACAAATAACACAGGACCATAGGGTTACACGTAGGAAAAAATAAATCTAAACTTATCCTCACACTATAAAAACACTTCTTATTTTTTATCTTGTTGTTGTAAATTTTTTATGCTTTATTTTTAAGATTGACAAATAAAAATTATATACCATGGTCCTTCACTATACCTGGGTGATTGGTTCCAGGATCCCCATTCAGATACCAAAATCTGCAGATGCTCAAGCCCCTTGCATGAAATGGCATAGTGAAGCTGGGCACCGTGGCTCACGCCCGTAATCCCAGCACTTTGGGAGGCTGAGCTGGGTAGATCACAAGGTCAGGAGTTCAAGACCAGCTGGTCCAACATTCTGAAACCCCGTCTCTACTAAAAATACACACACAAAAAAATTTATCTGTGCATGGTGGCACGTGCCTGTAATCCTAGGGGAGGCTACTGGGGAGGCTGAGGGAAGACAATCGCTTGAACCTGGGAGGCGGAGGTTGCAGTGAGTTGAGATCACGCCACTGCACTCCAGCCTGGGTGAGAGAGTGAGACTGTCTCAAAAAAAAAAAATAGCATAGCAATTGCATAGAACCCATGCACATCCTCCTGTATACATGAAATCATCTCTTGATTACTTATAATTCCTGACACAGCCTACACGCCACTCAATTTGTGTCGATTCAACATAGTTTTTTGCTTCTTGAAACTTCGGGGATTTTTTTCTCAAAATATTTTTGATTTATTGTTGGTTCAATAAACACCTGTAAACCCCACAGATATGGAGGACCGACTGTATATTTATATTATGAAAGATGATATGTTGATATGTGTCCCCGTGGAGATGAGACTAACAAGGCCTATGACTCTACAAATGTTTCATCGTGGAATGACTCTGCCAGCTTTCCAGGTCTGCAGAGAGTAAGAATATCACTTGTTCATGTGATTCACGATCCTTGGAGCCTCCTATGTGCTGTATCTTTGGATGGAAATTGGAGTCTCAGAGACAATTCAGGCTCCATTCTGCTTCCAGAAGCTCAGAGTCCAGGGCTGAGAACCCAATGGAGAACAGATGGGGTTATGTGGACATGGTAATGATAACACCGGAAGCCTTAGGCAAGAGAAGAGTCTCGTTACCGAAACCATGAGGGCAGACATGTTTATTTGAAGGCGGGAAAACTACATTGAAATTATTTAAAAAATTTATAAGTTTTACTGCTGGCAGAAGGCTGAAAGATAGTCTGAAGGGAGGTGGAACAGCACGTGTCTAAGTGCTGTGTTAAGAGGGAGCCTCTTGTATGTTTGGAATTGTGAGTTCCTCAGTGTGATTGCAGCCTCAGGTAGACTAGGAAGTAAGCTAGTTAGGTTGGAGAGGTGGGCAGGGGTCAAGTGAAATGGAGAATTGTGGGCTAAGCAAAGGAGTGTGTTTTCTCTCCAGCAGGCAGTGGGGACCTTAGACATTTGTAAGCAAGAGAGAGGCATGTTCAGATTCGTGGTGTGAGGAAGAGCGATGCCCTAAGATGAAGACTGATGCCTTCAGATTCCAGCTGCTGGTACATGGGAGCTGGCAACCCGGTTTTGAGACAGGGCTGTTGTCTCCCTAGAAGATCCCCTCAAGGCCTGACTGTGGTGCTCGTGGACAGAAGACAACTTTGGATCTGGGCTCAGCATTTGGAAGTTCTATGTACATGCTGGTATCTGTTGGGGGTGTCTTGGGCCTCTCAGAAGGGCGAGTGATTTCTCTCTGTGTGAAAACACAGTGATCCAATTATGCGTATGACACCTCCTGATGGTCTTGTTCATCAGAATCCTGGAGAGAGGGAAATGCTGAGTGAGGGAGGGTGCTCACATTTTTCAGGACTCTTTGGGAATAAGACTAGCCACGAGGCTGGGCCGAGGAGCACCTACCTCGCTGTTCACTGTTCTGTTCCCTGCAGGCTCTTGGTCCATTACAGCAGCATCTGTAGAAGACGGAAGTCAACAAAAGAGCTCGGAGGGCACTTCTGGGTCCTCATTTCATAAGCAGATACCAACAAACAGGGGGAGGCCATAGGTGCCTGAGGTCCCTCAGTTGCCAACAGCAGACTCAGACATTCTATCTCTCTGAGTTCAAGGACCCATCCCATGAATAGCTCTGAGTTCCCATCCCATTGATTCTATCTCCCACTTTCTGCCTGTCATGGAACCTTCTCCTGGATGTGAGTGGCTGCAGGGGACGTGAGGGTACAGTTCAGAATCAGGCAACGGTCTGTGAGCTGAAGGCAGGGGAAGGGAATCTGGTGCTCTCTCTAGAAAGTCCTGCCTCTGTGGCTCCTGTCTTGGGCCAGGGACCATCCTGCTGGTGAGGAACACACACCTGAGTGCTCCCATCCTGCTTCCCCACATGGCCCTGAGCTCTCTGGCCTCTGCTTCGTGAGACTTACTTTTTTTGTTGGAGCACCAGCGATGAAGGAGAAAGAAGAGGAGGATGGTGAAAGGGATTTTGACCACTGAGGTCCCAATCAGAACATGCAGGTGTCTGGGGTTACCTGGAAGAAGAGGAGACACCAATAAGAAGCTAATCATAGCAGTTCCTCTTTATGAATTGTCTCGCATTTCTTGATTGGCAGGTAACCACATACAACGTCTCTTTAGGACAAGCACCCAAATGGCGGGAGACCTAGCTTTCCCCTGCTTTCTCAATTATAGCTCTCATAGTAACCATAGAACGTGCTGAGGATACAACTACTTTAGTTGAGATGTTTGACCCCTTCAAACCTCACATTGAAATTTCACCCCCATTGTGGGAGGTTGGGCCTCTTCAGAGGTGTTTGGGTCATGGAGGTGGATCCATCATGAACAGATCAATGCTGTCCCAAGGAGACGGGGTTAGCAAGTTCCCCCTCTGTTAGTTCCTGGACAGCTGGTTGTTAAAAAGAGCTTGGAAGCTCCATTGCTCCCTCTCCCCCTTACTCTCTCTCTTGCCGTGTGATCTCTGTGGTCTCTGCACAGACAGACCCTCCTTCCCTTCTGCCAGAGTGGGAGCAGCCTGAGGCCATCACGAGAAATAGATTCTGGTGCCATGCTTCCAGTACAGCCTGCAGAACTGTGAGGCAAACCGATCTCTTTTCTTTAGAAGTTACCGAGGCTCAAGTGTTCCTTCAGAGCAACAAAAAAAAAAACTAAGACAGCAACGACCTGAGATCAGGAGGAATGTCTCAGAACAGCCTGGGCTGTCTTCCTGTTCTTCCTGGAGGAAGGCGTCATGCAGTGCTTTAGCTGAGTGCTTCCTGTGGCTCCAGGGTACAAAACCCAGGCTGGGCTGCTTTCTGGCTTCCCCCAGCTACACTGCAAATGGGGTGACTCCATATGTCCCGAGCAGCTTTTCTGAGCCTTGAGGGACTGGCTCACATTGAAATGTAGGCTTCTGTTGTCACTCGCTGCTTATCTGTTAGTAATGAACCTGCCTGTGTAATGTATTCTCTGTGTGTTCTGTCTCCCTGGAGTGACGGTGAGTGATAGGAATTGGCATAGGCCCAGGTGCAGTCCAGGAGGTGTTTAGAGTCTTCTCTGGGAAGACTGCACTGGGATTGATACACAGCGACTGTGCTTTAGGATTTCTACATCCACGGCATTCTTGAGTCAAACAACTTGCATTCTCCAAGAAAAGGAAACAAAAGTGAAATCAAGATAAAAAAAGCGAAGTAGAATTCTCTTATGTCAAATGGCCAGGAAACAGTGTTGAAGCCCATGTGAAACGTGCTACTCTTTGTGATCTCAGGAGACACATGTTAGGTTGCTGTTCTACCCGAGAGGCTGGGGGAAGGACCACCCCCTCGGCCATCTATTGCTTCAATACCACCTGTCCTCCTGTGAATTAGTAGGAAAGGGGAGCAGGAGCTACTGCTGACGCTAATCTCTGATTCCAAGATCTGGACTCACTCCAAGGAGTATTAGAATTTACCTCCCCATGGCCTATCTGAATCTCCACAGATGATTGGAAGTAGGGGTGAGGTGGGGGATTTGGGTGAGAGGGCATGTTTTCTTGTGATGAACAGAGCACTTTGTGTATTCCAGGATCTGTGCTGGAGGATTCAGCGGGCTTTCACATTTTCTATATGATCTCATGCTCACAGAAAGCCAAATAGGGAAGAGGTTTTAGGCTCATTGCCTAATGGATAAGATAAAGGATCAAAGAAGTAATTATAGAGAAATAGAAAAATCATGATTGGAATTCAGGTCCCTTTCTCATTTGCATGTGTTATATTATATTTATATTTATGCATTTCTTATTTTTATTTTTTGAGACGGAGTCTCCTTGTGTCACCCAGGCTGGAGTGCAGTGATGCAATCTCCACTCACTGCAACCTCCACCTCCTGGGTTGAAGTCATTCTCCTGCTTCATCCTCCAGAGTAGGAGCTGGGATTACAGGGATGCACCACCATGCTCGGCTAATTTTTGTGTTTTTCCTAGAGACAGGGTTTCACCATGTTGGCCAGGCTGGTCTCGAACTGCTGACTTCATGTGATCCACCCGCCTTGGCCTCCTGCAGTGCTGGGTTACAGGCGTGAGCCACCGTTCACAGACTTGTATATTATGCTATAATAGGTCCCTTCATTTCCACCACCCCTCATATATCTGTCACTCCTTTGCCAGGTATTGATTTATGTGTAGTAGGAATAAAGCTCAGAAAGAAATTAAGCGAGGATTAGACAACTAGGAAAATCATACCCAGCAAGCCTTTCCAGCCAATGATTCCACCTCACAAGCATAGCTTATATCCATCTGCTTCACCCAGTTAGGGTCTAAATCAGCACCACATTTCACCAGTGGGGCGGGAATTGCCTTTTCCACAGTCTCCTAGATTCCAGTTACGCACCTGGGCCTCCCTTATTTTCATGTCAGTCACTATTAATCATGTAGGGATTCCTGGCTACCCCGAGGTGAATCCAATGGCTGTGAGTGTCAAACACACACTCCTTGTTGCTCCTTAGTTTCCTGTGTACCCAGTGTGCTCTCCGTCTCTCCACAGTCGTCTTGTCATTCTCCCCACCTCATTCCCAGCATTTGAGGCAGAGCCTCTTCCTTCCACATCAGATTGTTTTCAGCTTTCTGCCTTCACGGCTGACAGCTGTGTGTGGAAAATCCTTCCGCCAATCTTTCAGGGGTTCAATCCGTGTTTTTCATTAATGTCACAAATATCTGATTAGTGAGATCTTCTCTGTCACCCAAAATCATACACTCAGCATTATGTATTATTTATTTTAAATTCTGGCTGGGCACAGTGGCTCACGCCAGTTATCCCAGTACTTTAGGATGCTGAGACGGTCGGATCACTTGAGGTTGGGAGTTTCAGAGAAGCTTGGCGAAGATGGTGAAACATCCTCTACAAAAAATATACAAAAAGAATTAGCCGGGCATGGTGGCAGTTGCCTGTAATCCCAGCTACTTGAGAGGCTGACGCAGGAGAATCACTTGGATCCAGAAGGTGCAGGTTGCAGTGAGCCAAGATGGTGACACTGCACTGTAGCCTGGAAGACAGAGGGAGACTCTGTCTCAATAAACAAATGAAGAAACAAACAAATAGATTTCATACACAGATGCTTCCCAATGGATCATTCATTTATTGGTCCACTTGTGCATTCATTTTCTGCCCTCCCATTTAACCATCTGCAATATCAGTGTCCAAAGAGCAGAGGCCAAATGCATCTTGTTCACTGTTTGTGGAAGGCAGGAGAATGCTGTCCCACCCCAAAATGTCCCTGTCCTAGCCTCCATAGCTTGTGAATATCTTATTTTACATGGAAAGGAGGAATGAAGATTGCAGATGGAATTATGGTTGCTAATCAGCTGAACTTAAAACAAGGGTATCCTGAATGATTTCCGGGAGATTATGATGGATTTTCATCTTGGTGAACCCAATAGAATCCCCAAGTTTTCAAAAGATGAGGAAGAAGGGAGAGCAGCATTCAGAGAAAGAGGTGTGGTAAGGAAGAAGGGTCTGAGTGATGCCATGTGAGATGTGACCAGTCTTTGTGGGCTTTGAGGAAGGAGGAAGGGGACCAGGAGCGAAGGAATGTGGGAGCCTCTAGAAGCTGAGAAAAGTGAGAAGCAGATTCTTGCCTGGAATCCTCAGAGGGAAGGCAGCCTTGCTGTCACCTTGATTTTAGCCCAGTGAGATGCACTTCATACTTTGAGCTACAGCACTGTAAGATAATTAAAAAACCGTTTTGTTTTCACCCACGAATCTTGTGGAAATTTGTTATGGCAACAATAGGAAAAGCTTCCACAGTGCACAGCCTGAGCATGGGGCCGTGGCTGAATGAGTCAGTGAGTCGAAGTGTGCGTGCATGAGCTCTGTTCTCTGTTACAGCAAGGCTCTTTCTCTGCTGAGTCAGCCAGGGTTGCTTCATGACCTATAGGAGCTCATTCCTTGGCAAGTGGAACTTCTCTAAAACACCTCGCCCTCATCAGATGTTCCCTTCCCTTCCCTCTCTCAAGTCTCCAGGAATTTATCCTCCAGTTAGGAATGCAGGCAGAACAAACATTGCATTTTTCCTGAGAAGGATGTCAGATTGGCAATCATTCTTCTAGCTTGTAGGAAGTCTCAGCTCCATAAAATGAGAGATGAAGAGATTTCACTGAGCCCTGTGTTGGACCCAGATCCCTTTCGCTGTAGGAGTATCTGGAGTTCGGAGATGGTGGAAGACAGGGGTACAATGTCAGAGCTGTGAGATGCTGAGTCAACGCCTGAATCCAAGGTTTCCACCTCCCCAGGTTTCCAAAAGCGGATATAAGAGGGTTCTGTACTCACCGGTTTTGGAGCTTGGTTCAGTGGGTGAAGGCCAACTATTTGAAGGGTTTCCTAGAACATGAGACAGGAGAGAGGTGAGGAAATGAGGGTGTCTGTCCTCTACTCAGTGGAAATCTTTGAGGATGGTTCATGGCCAACACTCTGTTATCTAATATTGGGCCCTGGGAGTCCTGGGATCCTTTTTTCCATAATTTTTTTATGTGACGCCCACTGTCTTGAGACTTCAAGGTATAAAGAGAAAACAGGAGCATCACACTACCTGATCTCAAAATATGTTACAGAGCTGTAGTAAGCAAAACAGCATGACATTGGCATAAAGAAAGGGACATAGAACAACGGAGCAGAATGAATAACACAGATATATTCCATGCATTTACATCCAATGGTTTTTTATTTTTTCTTTTGAGATGGAGTCTTGCTCTGTCACTCAGGCTGGAGTGCAGAGGTGCAATCTCAGTTCACTGCAACCTCAGCCTCCTGGGTTCAATCATTCTCTTGCCTCAAACTCCTGAGTAGTGGTATTACAGGTGCTGACCACCATGCTCAGCTAATTTTTATATTTTTAGTGGAGACGATGTTTCATCACGTCGTCCAGACTGATCTTGAACTCCTGGCCTCAGGTAATCCACCCGCCTCGGCCTCCCAAAGTGCTGAAATTGCAGGTGTCAGCCACCAAGCCCAGCCCATCCAATGGACTTTGACAAAGGTGCCAAGAACTCACAATCAGGAAAGGACAGTCTTTTCAATAAACAGTGCAGGGAAACCTGGACATCGACATGCAGAGGAATGAAACTGCACCTCTACCTGTCACCATACACAAAAATCAAATGAAAATGGATTAAAGATGTGAGTCTAAGGCCTGAACCTATGAAACACGTAGAACAAAATATTGGGGAAATGCTCCAGGACATTTGTCTGAAGAAAGACATTTTGTTTTAAACCTTGAAAACACAAGTAATCGAAGCAAAAATAGACCATTGGGATTACCTCAAACTAAGCAACTTCTGCACTGCTAAAAATAAACCAACAAAGTGAAGAGACAACCCACAGATTGGGAGCAAATATGTGCAAACTATGCATCTGAGATGGGATTAATAACTAGAAATATAAGAAGCTCAAACAACTCAATAAAACAAATGATTTAATTGAAAAAGGAGCAGAAGACATGAAATTTCTCCACATACTAAAAAGTGCTCAGTATCACTCATCATCAGAGAAACGCAAATTAAAATCAAAGTGAGTTTTCATCTCACCCCATTAAAATGGCTTTTAGGCCGGGCGTGGTGGCTCACGTCTGTCATCCTAGAACTTTGAGAGCCTGAGGTGGGTGAATCTCATAAGGTCAGGAGTTTGAGACCAGTCTGACCCACATAGAGAAACACTGTCTCTACTAAAAATACAAAAATTAGTCGGGCGTGGTGGAGTGTGCCTGTAATTCCAGCTACTCGGGAGGCTGAGGCAGGAGAATCGCTTGAACCTGGGAGGTGGAGGTTGTGGTGAGCCGAGATAGCGCCACTGCACTCCTGCCTGGGTGAGAAGAGCAAAACTCCATTCAAAATAAAATGAAATAAAATAAAATGGCTTTTAGCTGCAAGACAGGCAAAAGAAATGCTGGCAAGGTGGTAGAGAAAGGAGAACCCTGGTACCCTGTTGGGAGGAGTGTAAATTAGTACAGCGATTACGGAGAAAAGTATGGAAGTCCTTTAAAGAACTAAAAAGAGGTTGGGTGTGGTGGATCAGGCCTGTAATCCCAGCACTTTGGGAGACTGAGGCGGGCATCTCAGTTGAGGTCATGAGTTTGAGAGCAGCCCAGCCAACATGGGGAAACCCCATCTATACTAAAAAAAACAAAAAGTAGCCAGGCATGGTGGCGTGCACCTGTAATCCCAGCTACTAGGGAGGCTGAGGCAGGAAAATCATTTGAACCCAGGAGGCAGAGGTTGCAATGAGCCAAGATGACATCACTTGTACTCCAGCCTGGGCACAGAGGGAAACTGTCTCAAAAACAAAAACAAAACAACAAACGAAAAACTAAAAAGAGAACTTTCATAGTATCCAGCAATTTCACTACTGGGTTTATATCCAAAGGAAAGTAAATCAATATATCGAAGTGATATCTGCACTCGTATGATTGGTGCAGCACTGTTCACAGTAGCCAAGATGTGGAGTCAACCTACCTGCCCATCAGTGGATGAATGGATAGAGAGAATGTAGTACATACGCACAGTGGAGACTACTCATCCATAGAAAGAATAACATCCTGATATTTGCAGCCACATGGATGGAACTGGAAGTCATTACAAAGATTCCCATTTCTCACCCATATACAGAGCTAAAAGGTGGATCTCATGAAGGTAGAGAGTAGAATGATGGCTTCCAGAGGCCAGGAAGAAAAGGGTGGAGGGTAAAAAAAAAAAAAAAATATATATATATATAAATGTATTTATGACCACTAGACTTTACACTTAAAAATGGTAAATGTGGCTGGGCGTGGTGGCTCATGCCTGTAATCCCAGCACTTTGGGAGGCACATGCGGGTGGATCACGTGGTCAGGAGTTGGAGACCAGCTCGACCAACATGGTGAAACCACCTCTCTACTAAAAATACAAAAAGTAGCCTGGCGTGGTGGTGCGCGCCTGTAGCACCAGCTACTCAGGTGGCTGAGGCAAGAGAATCGCTTGAACCCAGGAGGCGGAAATTGCAGTGAGCTGAGATTGTGCCACTGCACTCCAGCATAGGGGACAGAGCTAGACTCTGCCTCAAAAAAAAAAAAAATGTTAAAGGTGGTAAGCTATATAGGTATATTTATCCTCAATAAATATTTCTTCAAACAAAAGTAAAGGGTGTAGGGGTTGCTGGTGATGACATCCCTGTGTGGGTGAGAGGCCAGGATGGGCTTCTGGGAAATGGATAATGTTGAGGGGCTGAGGGAACCTCTGATCTTCCCAAACTGAGCCCAGTCTCTCTCCTCTGGGTCTCTCCTGACCGTTTTCTCCATCTGCCTGTGTGCCTGGAGCCCTGGCCGCGGGCCTTCATGCAGGCCGTGTAGGAGGGTTTGGAGGTGCCCTGTCTGCCATCCTGTGCCCTGATCCCTCCCTCACACCCAAGCTTCGTCTTCTCTCTGCATCTGTCCATGCTTCTCTCCATCATCAGCAGGAAGCTCCTCAGCTAAGGCTCTAGGATCATAGGACATGAGACAGATATGGGGTTTCCTCACCTGTGACAGAAACAAGCAGTGGGTCACTCGAGTTTGACCACTCATAGGGAGAGTCACGGAAAGAGCCGAAGCATCTGTAGGTTCCTCCGTGGGTGGCAGGGCCCAGAGGAAAGTCGGCCTGGAATGTTCCGTTGACCTTGGGCCCTGCAGAGAACCTACGTTCATGGGCCTCCCCCTCCCTGGATAGATGGTACATGTCATAGGAGCTCCGGGAGCTGCAGGACAAGGTCACGCTCTCTCCTGCCAAAACCGTGGGGCCCGGCTGGGCTGAGAGAGAAGGTTTCTCATATAGACCTGGAAGGAGAAGAGGCATTTTCCTCAGGGAGGATCTTCCTTGTCACAGCTCCCTTCACCTGAGCTGAGAACTCACTCCCCTGCTCTATGACCTAATGCTCTCTCTCTCTCTCTCTCACCCTCCACCCCATCTCTCTTCATGTCTATTTCCTCCTTCCACCTTCTCTGTCTCTCTAGGTCTCTGACCTCGCTTCCCCACCTCTAGATATGTTTTCCCTTTTTGGATTCTTTTATTCTCTCTGACTCTCCTTGGATTGGTTGACTTGATGTTACTTTTTTAAATTCTAAGTTTCTCACGTTGTGTCCTGTTCATAACTTTCTGCATATTTCTATCTATTATCTGTCGATCTATCTATTTATCTATTCGGTGCCTATCTACAAATTCTCTACCTGTCATCTATATCTATATATCATCTATGTATCTATCAGTTGTCTATCTATCCATCAATCATCTGTTATTTATATGTATGTATCATCTCTCTCTCTATGATTTCTGTCTGCCTCTCTATCTGTACGTATTATCTATCTGTCTTCATCATCATCATCTCTATGTATTATCTATTAATGAATCAATCAATCATCATCTATGTATCTTTAACCTATTATCTATCATCTACCTATTTATCATCTATCTATATCTATCCATCTATCATCTGTCTTGCTCTGCCTCTCGGTCTCTCTAGTTCTCTTTGGAATCTCTGCAGTTCATCCCCACATCTCCATCTTTCTATGTCCTTGTGCCTCTCCCTCAGGACTCTAATTTTAGTGCTTTTCTCTGCTCCCTTCCATCATTCTCACCACTCCTCTGCCCTCTTTTCTCTCTCTTTATGTGTCAGTGAGTCTCTCAATCTCCTTCCTCTGGCCCATTCTCTGTGTGTTTATGTCTTTGCTTTTTGGTGTTCCTGATTTCTCTCTGTGCCTCTCAGTGATCCTTTCATATGTGGGGTTATTTGGAATGTGAGCCTCAGAATCCAGTCTGGAGACCACAAGTTCACACAGCATACAGGGGTTGGTGTTCTGGGGCCATGATATCCTGGGACGGTTACTCTCCATTACATGGAAGGCAGAGGTGTCAGAATAAACATGGCCTGTAGGTGCCACAAGGCCTGAGGCCACAGGGCCCAACTCAGGTCAGAAATATGGGTGTCCTTGGGTTCTCCTGGTAGAGAACACTTTGTGGAGGTAAAACAGAAATGAAACTTCTATCCTGTGCCAGGTCTGTGAGCAAAGTCAGCATGGAGGGACACCTCTCTCTGGGACATGTCTGTCTGTCTGTCTCCTTTAACTCTTTCTGTCTTTTCTAACTCCCTGTATGGCCCCTGTGTCTGTCCTCCGTTATGACACCTGGTCTGTACTTGTGTCTCCTGTTTCTCTGTCTCTGTTGGTACAAACCTCAGCAAGTCAGTCTCTCTCCATAAGAATACCAAGCTCATCTTCCTTACAACTACCTGGGGGTTCCAAGTCGTGGATCATTCACTCTGCAGCCCAATGACAATGAGAATGTCCGGACACTCTCACCTGTGATGACGATGTCCAGAGGGTCACTGGGAGCTGACAACTGATAGGGGGAGTGAGTAACAGAACCGTAGCATCTGTAGGTCCCTGCAAGGTCTTGCATCATGGGACCGATGGAGAAGTTGGCCTTGGAGACCCCATCATGGTGCTCTCCAATGAGGTGCAAAGTGTCCTTATACTTCCCCTCTCTGTGCAGAAGGAAGTGCTCAAACCTGACATCTGACCAACATTGCAGGATGACTGTCTCTTCTGATTTCACCAGGGGACCTGGGTGGGCCAGGAGGGAAGGTTTTCTGTGGACTCCTAAGAAGAGAGGTTGTGAGTTTAGAAGGTGTCTCTCTTTATCATCCCATCCATGGCACCTAGAATGAGTGAGGCTTCCCCTTGCTGGTGTCTGTCTCTCTCCTTCCTCTCTGTGTCTTCATGTTCTTTTCTGTGCCCATAACTCCTGGTGCAGGTCCTTCCATCTGTCTCCCTCCCTCTTCTCTGTCCCTCTGTCTCTAGTAGCCTCTGATTCCCTTCCCACTGGGCTTAGCCTCATCTCTTGGGGTGTTGTATCTATTTCACACTAACGTCTTTCCTGCTGTTTATGTGGGGGTGAAAGAGGAACCAGGATAGGCTGCACATCCAGGCTCTTATCAGCCTTGTTCAATCTCTTTTGGATGAATTGCAATCCTTGGCAGAAGGTATGAACTGATGAATAAGGCAGGCACCAGTGTCCACACACCCTGTTCCTGGTCGGGACTGGGAGCCACTCTTGCCATGCCTGTGCCTTCTCCATGGTGCCAGCTTCCATAGGCTGGCTCCTGGTGCTGGTTGGAGGAGTATCAACCCCTCCCTATGTGGATGGAGCCTGGTGGTGGCATCATCATCCCACCCTTGCTGATCTCAGGGTAGCCAACCTTCTCCTTGTTTGGTTTCTTTAATTAATTAATTAATTTTGGAGACAGAGTCTCACTCCTTCACCCAGGCTGGAGTGAAGTGGTGTGGTCTAGGCTCACTGCAACCTCTGTTTCCTGGGTTCAAGTGATTCTCCTGCCCTCAGCCTCCTGAGTCGCTAGGATTACATGCGCCTGCCACCATGCCTGGCTTTCCTTGGGTTGTTTCTTAACTTGTCCTTGACCTGGGTTCCAGTGTTGGTTTCCTGTTGCTGCTGTACAAAATTATCAGAAGCATGGAAGCAGGAGAGACCACACTGACACCTTCCAGTACTGGAGACAGAAATTGGACCCTATTTTTCCTGGGCTAAAATCAAGGCATCTGCAGGGCTTCGTTTCCTCTGGAGACTCTGGAGAATCAGTTCCTTGACTTTTCCAGCCTCTATAGGCCACCTGCATTCATGGCTCTTGGCCTTCCTCCACCTTCAAAGCTGGTGAAGACTTCCACTGGACTGCTCTAATCCCCACTCCCCTCTTCCTCCTCCTTTCATGTGCACCCTTGTGATTACACTGAGCCCAGTGGGACAGTCCAGGCTGTCTCCCCATGAGCTCCATCTTCCCCTTCAGTCCCTTCCCCTATAACATACATAGTCACAGACTCCAGGGATTAGAATGTAGTCATCACTGGGGACAATTATTCTTCCCACCACAGCACCCATTTCCCTGTATTCAATCCCCCTTTACCACAAATACAGTCAGGGCCTGCGTGATGGGACCCTCAAGGACATGCCCACCAGAAGCTCTGGGATTCAGGAGGTGGGACAAGGAGAATCCAAGACAGGAGCCCTCTGACCTATGACCACGATCACCAGGGGGTTGCTGGGTGCTGACCACCCACTGGGGGAGTGTGTGTGTGAACCCCGACATCTGTATGTCCCTGTTGTGCGGGGGTCACAGGGCCCATGAAAAGGCTGTTCCAGAATATTCTGTTGTAGAGCTCAGGGACAGGCACCCCACCTTCCTTGTACAGACTGAAGTTGTTAAACCCAAGATAAGAGTGACACCGAAGAATGACATGTCCTAGAGGCACCACAAGGCTGGGCCAGGCAGACAGCAAGGGCTTGTCCTGACCACCTTGGGGAGAAGGAGGCGCCGCCTTAGAGAGGAGGATGTGGAACTGCCCCTCCCTCCCTGTGCTCAGAAGATTCTCCTCGCTTTCCACGTTTCTATGGCTACTATCACACCTTGGTGCCCAGGGCTGAAGGAAGGACCCATCCCGCAAAGACATGGTGTCTCCCTACAACAAAAGCCTCAGCTGAGAACTTTGAGCAAGTGCTGAGTAAAGAGACTCCTACTAGATTTTAATACTGTAAGATTACTCACATAAAACAACACAGGGTAGACATGAGGTGGAGGGCATGTCCTTTGTGAGTGGATATCAGCGGATGCCTGAACGAAAATAAACAACTGAGCCCCCATCAGAGGATTTGGAATGTCAGGGCCATGGCTGTGGTTTCCCACCTCTTCTGGTAGAATGACAGCAGCCACACTGCAGCCCCTACCATCATGGAAACGCTGAAGTGTGTGAGTAACACCTTTGTCCTCAGAGGATCTGCTGTTCCTACCACTTCCCCACCACACACCCCAGCTTTGAGCACCCCAGTCTAACCCTGGTCCCCACAGAACTTGACTCTGCCAAGGGGTTGAGAGGCCAGGGAGGCAAGGTCAGAAATGTGGGCCGAGCACCCCAGGGTCCTCTCTTCCCAGTTTATGAGAGACTCCCTGACAGGACTTCCCTCCTGTTTCAGGAAAATCCTCTTATGTGGGGAGATGACAACCGAAGGTTTGGAGAAGGACTCACCCTCATGTGGCCAGGCCCCCTGCAGCAAGAAGAACCCTGGAAAGAAAGATCATGATGGACCATCCATCTGCAGGCAAACCAGGACTCCCTTGCTGCCCCCACTGGGCTGTGAGTCTTGGCAGCCAGGCCCTTCCTGGGCTGAAGTTAAACTCACCCTCAGTGCCTACCTGCACCCAAGAACAGGGCTGTCGGCTGTGCAGAGACCCAGTTTCCAGGCCCAGATCCCCACCACAAGCCCATATCTCCACTCCAGGCTGATATTTCCACCCTAGGCCCATATCTCCAATCCAGTCCCATATCTCTGCCCCAGGCCCAGATCTCCACCCTAAGCCCATATCTCCACTCCAGGCCCATATCACCTCTCCAGTCCCATATCTCCACACCCAGGCCCATATCTCCTTCCTAGGCCCATATCTCCACTCCAGGCCCAGATATCCACCTCTAGGCCCATAACTCCACTCCTGGCCCATATCTCCACTCCAGGCCCATATCTCTACTGCAGGCCCGTATCTCCACCTCCAGATCCATATCTCCACTCCAGGCCCATATCTCCACTCCAGGCCCATATCTCTACTGCAGGCCCATATCTCCATCTCCAGGCCCATATCTCCATCTCCAGGCCCATGTCTCCACTACAAGCCCATATCTCTACTGCAGGCCCATATCTCAACCTCCAGGCCCATATCTCCACTCCAGGCCCAGATCTCCACTTCTAGGCCCATCACTCCATCTCTAGGCCCATAACTCCACTTCCAGGCCTATATCTCCAACTCTGGGCCCCGATCTCCATCCCCGCACTCCCTCCCTCGATTCCCTTCCAGGACTCACCAACACACGCCATGCTGACGACCATGAGCGACATGGTGCTGTCTGTGCAGACAGGCGGCCGCGCCCCAGCTCAGCTCAGCAGCGCACAGGATGTTATTTGGCGCCCTGCCCATGCAGTTTACATGTTGACCACATCATGGGAGGGTGACGTACGCAGGCTCTTTCTACCTTGCATGAGGCCCAGTGGGTGCTCGCTCAAGAGCGGAACATGGCTTCCTGGAAATTGTTCTCACTAGAATTGACACCTTGCGTCCTTCACTACGACCAGACTCAAAAGACGTCTCAGATCCAACCTCTCATACACGAGATGATTGAATTCTGTGCTTACATTAAAGATTTTTGATGTATTTTTGTTTTTATCTGAGATTCAAACTCTTCTTCATATGTAATGTGCAAAATGTCTAACAGGTATTATTAACATTATCAGAGTAATTGTGACAAGAAGCCATTCTAATTTTCCTGCTTGAGTTTCTAGTACTAAACCAGAGGCATCAGAATAGCTTGAACCTGGGAGGCGGAGGTTGCAGTGAGCTGAGCTCAAGCCACTGAACTCCAGCTTGGGTGACAGAGGAAGAGTCTGTCTCAAGAAAAAAAAAAAAGCAAACTAAATAACCTATAATAACAAATCAGAGGACTCAGGTTACCAAATTTTAAGGGGTTCTATAAGTTTATATAAAATGCAGCATCCTCATGAGAGGGGATACAGAGAACCACTGGACAGAAAACTGTGTCTAAAATACATCTGTGGATACACAGTCCCTTTATAGTTGACAAAGGCTGCCATGTAGTTTAAGGTGGAATAGAATATTTTCTCAACAAATAACACAGGACCATAGGGTTACACGTAGGAAAAAATAAATCTAAACTTATCCTCACACTATAAAAACACTTCTTATTTTTTATCTTGTTGTTGTAAATTTTTTATGCTTTATTTTTAAGATTGACAAATAAAAATTATATACCATGGTCCTTCACTATACCTGGGTGATTGGTTCCAGGATCCCCATTCAGATACCAAAATCTGCAGATGCTCAAGCCCCTTGCATGAAATGGCATAGTGAAGCTGGGCACCGTGGCTCACGCCCGTAATCCCAGCACTTTGGGAGGCTGAGCTGGGTAGATCACAAGGTCAGGAGTTCAAGACCAGCTGGTCCAACATTCTGAAACCCCGTCTCTACTAAAAATACACACACAAAAAAATTTATCTGTGCAGGGTGGCACGTGCCTGTAATCCTAGGGGAGGCTACTGAGGAGGCTGAGGGAAGAGAATCGCTTGAACCTGGAAGGCGGAGGTTGCAGTGAGTTGAGATCACGCCACTGCACTCCAGCCTGGGTGAGAGAGTGAGACTGTCTCAAAAAAAAAAATAGCATAGCAATTGCATAGAACCCATGCACATCCTCCTGTATACATGAAATCATCTCTTGATTACTTATAATTCCTGACACAGCCTACACGCCACTCAATTTGTGTCGATTCAACATAGTTTTTTGCTTTTTGAAACTTCGGGGATTTTTTTTCTCAAAATATTTTTGATTTATTGCTGATTCAATAAACATGTGTAAACCCCAGAGATATGGAGGAGTGACTGTCTATTTATAGTAGTATGAAAGATGATGTGTTGATACGTGTCCCTGTGGAGATGAGACTAACAAGGCCTATGACTCTACAAATGTTTCATCGTGGAATGACTCTGCCAGCTTTCCAGATCTGCAGAGAGTAAGAATATCACTTGTTCATCTGATTCACCATCCTTGGAACCTCCTATGTGCTGCATCTTTGGATGGAAACTGGAGTCTCAGAGACAATTCAGGCTCCACCCTGCTTCCAGAAGCTCAGAGTCCAGGGGTGAGAACCCAGCGGAGAACAGATGGGGTTATGTGGACGTGGTAATGATAACACCGGAAGCCTTAGGCAAGAAAAGAGTCCCATTGACGAAACCATGAGGGCAGACATGTTTACTTGAAGAATAGAAAACTACATTGAAATTATAAAAAAAATTTATAAGTTTTACTGCTGACAGAAGGCTGAAAGATACTCTGAGGAAAGGTGGAACAACATGAGGAAAGGTGGAATAGCATGTATCTAAGTGCCGTGTTAAGAGGGAGCCTCTTATATGTTTGGAATTGTGAGTTCCTCAGTGTGATCGCAGCCTCAAGTAGACTAGGAAGTAAGCCAGTTAGGTTGGAGAGGTGGGCAGGGGTCAAGTGAAATGGAGAATTGTGGGCTAAGCAAAGGAGTGTGTTTTCTCTCCAGCAGGCAGTGGGGACCTTAGACATTTGTAAGCAAGAGAGAGGCATGTTCAGATTCGTGGTGTGAGGAAGAGCGATGCCCTAAGATGCAGACTCACGCCTTCAGATTCCAGCTGCTGGTACATGGGAGCTGGCAACCCGGTTTTGAGACAGGGCTATTGTCTCCCTAGAAGATCCCATCAAGGCCTGACTGTGGTGCTGGTGGACAGAAGACAACTTTGGATCTGCGCTCAGCATTTGGAAGTTCCGTGTTACACGCTGGTATCTGTTGGGGGTGTCTTGGGCCTCTGAGAAGGGCGAGTGATTTTTCTCTGTGTGAAAACGCAGTGATTCAACTGTGCGTATGTCACCTCCTGAGGGTCTTGTTCATCAGAGTCCTGGAGGGAGGGAAATGCTGAGTGAGGGAGGGTGCTCACATTTTTCAGGACTCTTTGGGAATAAGACTAGCCATGAGGCTGGGCTGAGGAGCACCTACCTCCCTGTTCACTGTTCTGTTCCCTGCAGGCTCTTGGTCCATTACAACAGCATCTGTAGAAGACGGAAGTCGTCAAAACAGCTCGGAGGGCACTTCTGGGTCCTCATTTCATAAGCAGATACCAACATGCAGGGGGAGGCCATAGGTGCCTGAGGTCCCTCAGTTGCCAACAGCAGACTCAGACATTCTATCTCTCTGAGCTCAAGGACCCATCCCATGAATAGCTCTGAGTTCCCATCCCATTGATTCTGTCTCCCACTTTCTGCCTGTCATGGAACCTTCTCCTGGATGTGAGTGGCTGCAGGGGATGTGAGGATATGGTTCAGAATCAGGCAATGGTCTGTGAGCTGAAGGCAGGGGCAGGGAGTCTGGTGCTCTCTCTAGAAAGTCCTGCCTCTGTGGCTCCTGCCTTGGGTCAGGGACCATCCTGCCTGTAAGGAACACACACCTGAGTGCTCCCATCCTGCTTCCCCACATGGCCCTGAGCTCTCTGGCTTCTGCTTCGTGAGACTTACTCTTTTTGTTGGCACACCAGCGATGAAGGAGAAAGAAGAGGAGGATAGCAAAGGGGATGATGACCACTGAGGTCCCAATCAGAGCGTGCAGGTATCTGGAGTTACCTGGAGGAAGACAAGACACCAATAAGAAGCTAATCATAGCAGTTCCTCTATATGAATTGTCTCACATTTCTTGATTGACAGGTAACCACATACAACGTCTCTTTAGGACAAGCACCCAGATGGCGGGAGACCTAGCTTCCTCCTGCTTTCTCAGTTGTAGTAACCATAGAACGTGCTGAGGATACAACTGCTTTAGTTTAGATGTTTGACCACTTCAAACCTCACATTGAAATGTAACCCCCAGGGTGGGAGGTTGGGCCTCTTGGGAGGTGTTTGGGTCATGGAGGTGGATCCATCATGAACAGATCAATGCTGTCCCAAGGAGATGGGGTTAGCAAGTTCCCCCTCTATTAGTTCCTGGAGAGCTGGTTGTTAAAAAGAACTTGGAAGCTCCATCGCTCCCCCTCCCCCTTGCTCCCTCTCTTGCCGTGTGATCTCTGTGGTCTCTGCACAGATAGACCCTCCTTCCCTTCTGCCAGAGCGGGAGCAGCCTGAGGCCGTCACAAGAAATAGATGCTGGTGCCATGCTTCCAGTACAGCCTGCAGAACTGTGAGGCAAACACATTTCTTTTCTTTAGAAGTTACCCAGGCTCAAGTGTTCCTTTAGAGCAACAAAAATGGACTAAGACAGCAAAGTCCTGAGATCAGGAGGAACATCCCAGAACAGCCTGGGCTGTCTTCCTGTTCTTCCTGGAGGAGGACGTCATGCAGTGCTTTAGCTGAGTGCTTCCTGTGGCTCCAGGGTACAAAACCCAGGCTGGGCTGCTTTTTGATTTCCCCCAGATACACTGCATATGGGGTGACTCCACATGTCTCGAGCAGCTTTTCTGAGCCTTGAGGGACTGGCTCACATTGAAATGTAGGCTTCTGTTGTCACTCGCTGCTTATCTGTTAGTAATGAACCTGCCTGTGTAATGTGTTCTCTGTGTGTTCTGTCTCCCTGGAGTGACGGTGAGTGATAGGAATTGGTATAGGCCCAGGTACATTCCAGGAGGTGTTTAGAGTCTTCTCTGGGAAGACTGGATTGGGATTGATACACAGCGAATGTGCTTTACAGTTTCTACCACCACAACCCTCTTGACTCAAAAAAATTACATTCTCCAAGAAAAGAAAGAAAAAATGAAATCAAGATAAAAAAAGTGAAGTAGAACTGACTTAAATCAAACAGCCATGAAATAATGATGTAGCCCAGGAACAACATGCTACTTTTTGTGATCTGCTGAGACATATATTAGGCTGCTATTCCACCCGAGAAGCACGGGGAAGGACCGCCCTCTCCGTCGTTTATTGTTTCAATACAGCCTGTCCTTCTGTGAGTTAGTACGAAATGTGACCAGGGGCTAGTGCTGGCACTGGTCTCTGAGTCCAAGATCTGAGCTCACTCCAAAGAGTATTAGTGTTTACCTCCCCATGATCTATCTGTATCTCCATAGGTGATTGGAAGTAGAGATGAATTGGGGGATTTGGGTGAAGGGGCAAGTTTTATGCCATGAACAGAGCACGTTCTCTATTCCAGGACCTGTGCTGGTGGGTTCAGGAGGCTTTCACATTTTCCATATGATCCCAAGCTCACAGAAAGCCAAATAAGGAAGAGGTTTAACCTGATTGTTTAATGGATAAGATAAAGGGTCAAAGAATTAAACACAGAGAAATAGAAAAATGATGGTTGGTATCCAGTTGCCTTTGTAATTTCTGTGTGTCATAATTATGTATGTTTTATTTTTATTTTTTGAGACAGAGTCCCCCTGTGTCAGGCTGGAGTGCAGTGATGCGATCTCAGTTCAACCTCTGCCTCCAGGGTTGAAGCCATTCTTCTGCTTCAGCCTCCCCAGTCGCTGGGATTACAGGCAGGTGCCAATGCACCAGGCTAATTTTTGTATTTTTAGTACAGACGGGGTTTCACCATGTTGGCCAGGCTGGTCTCAAACTCCTACCCTTAAGTGATCTACCCGCCTTGGCCTCCCAAAGTGTTGGGTTACAGGTGTGAGCCCCCATCCACAGTCTTGTATATTATATTATACTAGGTCCCTTCATTTGCACCACCCCTCATGTGTCTATCGCTCCTCTGCCAGGTATTGATTTAGATGTAGAAAAAAAACACATCTCAGAAAGAAATTAATGAAACAAGGATTAAACTACTAGGAAAAATCAAACCCAGCAAGCCCTCCCTGCAAATGATTCTACCTCACAAGCATAGCTTATATCCATCTTTCATTCATTTAGTGTGTAAATCAACCCTACGTTTCACCAGTGGGGCGGGAATTGCCTTTTCCACGGTCTCCTAGATTCCAGTTACGCACCTGGGCCTCCCTTATTTTCATGTCGGTCACTGTTAATCAGGTAGGGATTCCTAGTTAGCTCTGAGTTGAATCCAAGGGCTGTGAGTATCAAAAACATGCTCCTTGTTCCTCCTTAGTTTCCTGTGTACCCAGTGTGCTCTCCATCTCTCTACAGTTGTCTTGTCATTCTCCCCATCTCATTCCCAGCATTTGAGGCAGAGCCTCTTCCTTGAACTAAGAATGTTTCCACCTTTGTGCCTTCACGGCTGAGAGCTCAGTGTGGAAAATCCTTCCGCCAATCTTCCAAGGGTTGAATCCATTTTTTCCATTAAGGTCACAAATATTATCTGATCAGTGAGACCTTCTCTGTCACCTGAAATTATATACTCAGCATTATCTATTACTTATTTTAAATCCTGGCTGGGCGCAGTAGCTCTCGCCTGTAATCTTTGCACTTAGGGACGCTAAGGCGGTGGGATCACTTGAGATTGGGAGTTTGAGACAGCCTGCACAACATGGTGAAACCTCATTTCTACTAAAAAATATACCAAAAAAATTAGCCGAGTGTGGTGGCGCACAGCTGTAATCCCAGCTACTCGGTAGGCTGAGGCAGGAGAATTGCATGAACCCAGGAGGCAGAGGTTGCAATGAGCTGAGATTGTGCTACTGCACTCCAGCCTGTGGAACAGAGAGAGACTCTACTCAAAAAAAAAAAAGAAAACAAAAAAAACACACACACACAAAAAACCCCAGATTTGGTGCACAGATGCTTCCCAATGGATCATTCATTTATTGGTACCCTTGTGCATTCATTCTCTGCCCTCGCATTTACCCATCTGCAATATCAGCGTCCCAAGAGCAGAGGCCAAATGCATCCTGTTTACCATTTGTGGAAGGCAGGAGAATGCTGCCCCACCCCCAAAATGTCCCTGTCTTAGCCTCCATAGCTTGTGAATATGTTATTTTACAGGAAAGGAGGAATGAAGATTGCAGATGGCATTACGGTTGCTAATCAGCTGAACTTAAAAAGAGGGTACGCTGGATGATTTTAGGGAGATTGAGATGGATTATCTTGGTGACCCCAATAGAATCCCAAAGTCCTTAAAAGATGAGGAAGAAGGCAGAGCAGGATTCAGAGAAAAAGGTATGGGTAAAGAAGAAGAGTCTGAATGATGCCATGTGAGACGTGACCAGCCTTTGTGGGCTTTGAGGAAGGAGGAAGAAGGAAGGGGACCAGGGGCCCAGGAACGTGGGAGCCTCTAGGAGCTGGGAAACGTTAAGGAGCAGATTCTTGCTTGGAACCTTAAAAAGAAATCCAGCCTTACTGTCCCTTTGATATCAGCCCAGTGAAATGCAGTTCATACTTCTGAGTTACAGCACTGTGAGATAATTAAGAAAAACATGTTTTCATCCACGAAGCTTGTGGAAATTTGTTATGGCAACAATAGGAAAAGATTCCACACTGCACAGCCAGAGCATGGGGCATTGGCTGAACGAGTGAGTGAGTGGAAGTGTCGTGTGCATAAATAAGCTAAATTCTCTCTTACTGCACGTCTCTTGCTCTGCTGAGTCAACCAGGGTTGCATCTGGTACACTGCTGATACGAATGTAAATTAGTACAGCCATTACAGAGGAGAAGAGTATGGAAGTTCCTCAAAAAATAAAATGAGGTCGGGCACAGTGGTTCATGCCTGTAATCCCAGCACATTGGGAGGCCGAGGTGGGTAGGTCACTTGAGGTCAGGAGTTGAAGAGCAGCCTGGCCAATATAGCGAAACTCTGTCTCTACTAAAAATATAAAAATTAGCCGAGTGTGGTGGTGGGAGCCAGTAACCCAGCTACTTGGGAGGCTGAGGCTGGGGAATCTCTTGAATCCTGGAGGTGGAGGTTGCAGTGAGCCCAGATGGCACCACTGCACTCCAGCCTGGGCAACAAGAGTGAAACTGTCTAAAAAAAACAAAAACAAAAACAAAAACCATAAAACAAAATGTAAAAAGACACTTCCAGAGGATCTAGCAATTCCATGACTGGGTGTAAACCCAAAGGAAAGGACATCAGCGTATCGAAGTGACATCTGCACTCCCATGACTGTTCCAGCAGTGTTCACAGTAGCCAAGATGTGGATCAACCTACCCGCCCATCAGTGGGTGAATGGATGGAGAGAATGTGGTACACACACACAATAGGGACAACTCATCCATAGAAAGAGTAACATCCTGTCATTTACAGCCACATGAATGGAACTGGAGGTCATTACAAGTATTTCCATTTCTCACTCATATGCAGGAGCTAAAAGGTGGATCTCACAAAGGTAGAGAGTAGAATGGTGGCTACCAGAGGCCAGGAAGGGAAGGGTGGAGGGTAAAAAAAAAAGAATACTAATTAATTAATTAATTAATTTTGAGAGAGTGTCTCTCTCTGTTGCCCAGGCTGCAGTGCAGTGGCATGATCTCAGCTCACTGCAACCTCCGCCTCCTGCAATTAAGTGCAACTCCTGCCCAACCCTCCCAAGTAGCTGGGACTACAGGCATGTGCCACCATGCTCGGCTAATTATTATCATTATTATTATTATTTTGTATTTTTAGTACAGATGGATTTTCCCCATGTTGGCCAGGGTGGTCTTGAGCCCCTGATCTCAAATGATCCACCTGCCTTGGCCTCTCAAAGTGTTGGGATTACAACAGTGAGCCACCGTGCCCAGCCTATAAATGTATTTATGAACAGTAGACTTCACACTTAAAAATGGTAAAGGTGGTAAATTA
The DNA here is from genome assembly GCF_000001405.40 of Homo sapiens. NCBI lineage: Eukaryota > Metazoa > Chordata > Mammalia > Primates > Hominidae > Homo > Homo sapiens. Next base: position 173,395 of record NT_187668.1, read on the forward strand.
CATAGGTATATTTCACCTCAATAAATATTTCTTCAAACAAAAAGAAAAGGGTGTAGGCGTTGCTGGTGATGACATCTCTCTGTGGGTGACAGGCCAGGATGGGCTTCTGGGAAGTGGGTAAGGTTGAGGGGCTGAGAGAACCTCTGATCTCCCCAGGCAGAGCCCAGTCTCCCTCCTCTGGGTCTGTTCTGACCTCTTTCTCCATCTGCCTGGGTGCCTGGAACCCTGATCAAGGGCCTCCTTGCAGGCCATACAGGAGGGTTTGGAGGTGCCCTGTCTGCCATCCTGCCCCCTGACCCCGCCCTTACACCCATGCTGTGTGTTCTGTCTCGGCATCTGTCCATGCTTCTCTCCATCATCAGCAGGAAGCTCCTCAGCTATGGCTCTAGGATCACAAGACATGGGACAGGCATGGTGTTTTCTCACCTGTGACAGAAACGGGCAGTGGGTCACTCGGGTCTGACCACGCGTGGGGCAGGGCACGGAAAGAGCCGAAGCATCTGTAGTTCCCTCCGTGGGTCACAGGGCCCAGAGGGAAGTTGGCCTGGAATGTTCCATTGACCCTCAGCACCGCAGTGAGCCTAAGTTCACCGGCCTCTGCCTCCCTGGATAGATGGTAAATGTCAAACAAGCTCCGGGAGCTGCAGGACAAGGTCACATTCTCTCCTGCCTGAACCGTGGGGCCCGGCTGGGCTGAGAGAGAAGGTTTCCCATATAGACCTGGAAGGAGAAGAGGTGGTTTCCTCAGGGAGGTTCTTCGTTGTCACAGCTCTCCTCACACCTGAGCTGAGAACTCACTCCCCTGCTCTATGACTTAATGCTCTCTTTCTCTCTCTCACCCTCCACCCCCATCTCTCTTCATGTCTATTTCCTCCTTCCACCTTCTCTGTCTCTCTAGGTCTCTGACCTCACTTCTCCATCCCTAGCTATGTTTTCTTTTTTTGTACCATTTTATTCTCTCTGACCCTCCTTGGACTGGTTGACTTGATCTTCCTCTTTCTTTAATTCTGAGTCTCTCACTTTCTGTCTTGCTCATAACTTTCTGCATATTTCTATCTACTATCTATTGATCGATCTATCATTTATCTATGTATGTATCTATCATCTATCATCATCTGTGTATCTATGACCTATCTCTCTGTTATCTATCATCTATCAATCAATGTATGTATGTATGCATCTATCCATCTATCATCATGTGTTTATCTGTCTTTCTATCTCTCTATATCTATTTATATATCATCTGTCTGTCTTTCTACTTGTCTATCTATATCATCTATCAGTCATTCATCATCTATTTGTCTATCACCTGTCTCTCTATTATCTATCATCTACCTTTTATCTTTCATCTATCTATATCTATCTATCCATCTATCATCTGTCTCTCTCCATCTCCTTGTCTTTCTCTGCCTCTCAGTCTCTCTAGTTCCCTTTTGGAGTCTCTGCAATCCATCCCCACATCTTTATCTTTCCCTGTCTTTGTGCCCCTCCCTCAGGGCTCTGATTTTAGGGCTTTTCTCTGCTTCCTTCCATCATACGCTCCACTTCTCTGCCCTCTTTTTCTATCTCTTTATGTGTCTGTGAGTCTCTCAATTCCCTTCTTCTGGCTCATTCTGTGTGTGTGTTCATGTCTTTGCTTTTTGATTTCCCTGATTTCACTCCGTGTCTCTCTGTGGGCTTTTGTTCTCAGTAATCCTATAACATGTGGTGCTATTTGAATATGAGCCTCAGAATCCAGTATGGGGACTCCAGGAACTCACAACATACAGGGGTTGGTGTTCTGCTCCCTCACCTGGGGCCATGGTGTCCTGCGACGACGACAGCTCCACTGCACGGAAGGCAGAGGTTTAAGAATAAACACAGCATCTGTAGGTGCCACCAGCCTGGGGCCACACGGCCCAACTCAGGCCAGATAGATGTGTCTCTTTGGGTTCTCCTGGGAGAGAACACTTTGTAGAGGTAAAACAGAATGGAACCTTCTAACCTGTGCCTGGTCTCTGAACAAAGTCAGCATAGAAGGACACCTCTCTCTGGGATATATCTGTCTCTCTGTGTCTTCTTTACCTCTTTATCTCTTTTTCTAACACCTTGTATGGCCCCTGTGTCTGGCTTCTATGTTATGACATGAGGTCTGTACTTGTGTCTCCTGTTTCTCTGCCTTTGTTGGTACAGACCTCACCAAGTCACTTTCTCTCCATAGGAACCCCACACTCATCTTCCTCATGACCACCTGGGGCTTCCAGTCCTAGATCATTCACTCCATCTCCCAGCAAGGGTGAGAGGCAGGTCTGTATTCTCTCACCTACGACCACGATGTCCAGAGGGTCACTGGGAGCCGACAACTCATAGGGTAAGTGAGTGACAGAACCAAAGCATCTGTAGGTCCCTGCAAGGGCAGGTGTCATGGGACCCATGGAATAGTTGACCTGGGAACCCGCATCGTGGAGCTGTCCAACGAGGCGCAAGGGGTCCTCAGTGATCCCCTCTCTGTGCAGAAGGAAGCGCTCAAACCTGACATCTGACCAACATTGCAGGATGACCGTCTCTCCCGATTTCACCAGGGGACCTGGGTGGGCCAGGAGGGAAGGTTTTCTGTGGACTCCTAAGAAGAGAGGTTGTGAGTTCAGAAGGCGTCTCCCTTTCTCATCCCATTCATGGGACCTGAAATAAGTGAGGCTTCCCCTCCATGGTGTCTATCTCTCTCCTTCCTCTCTGTGTCTCCGTGTTCTTTTGTGCCCATAACCCCTGTTGCAGGTCCCTCCATCTGTCTCCCTCCCTCTTCCCTGTCTCTCTGTCTCTAGTAGCCCTGATTCCCTTCCCACTGTGCTCAGTGTCACCTCTTATGCTGTTGTATCTGTTTCCCACTAATCTCTTTCCTGGTGTTTATGTGGGGGTGGAAGAGGAACCACGACAGGCTGCATGTCCAGGCTCTTAGCAGCCTGAATCAATCTCTTTTGGACAGATTGGAAAGGCTGGCAGGAGGTACGAACTCATCAGTAAGGCAGGCATCAGTGTCCCTGTTCCTGATGGGGATTGGGAGCCTCTCCTGTCATGTCTGTGCCTTCTCCATGGCCCCAGCTTCCATAGGGTGGCCCCTGGTGCTGGTTCCAGGAGCATCAACCCCTCCCTATGTGGATCGAGCCTGGTGGTAGCATCAGTATCCCACCCATGCTAAAATCAGTGTAGCCAACCTTCTCCTTGTTTGGTTTCTTAACTTGTGCTTCACCTGGGTTCCTGTGTTGGTTTCCTGTTGCTGCTGGAGAAAATTGTCACAAACATGGGGCAGGAGAGAATACAATGACCCCTTCCACTTCTGGAGAACAGAAATCGGACCCAGTTCTCTCTGGGCTAAAATCAAGGCATCTACAGGGCTGTGTTTCCTCTGGAGACTCAGGGAAGAATCAGTTCCCTTGACTTCTCCAGCCCTTAGAGGCCAACTGCCTTTGTGGCTCATGGCCTTCCCCCATCTTCAAAGCCCGCTGTGGCTGATGGAGTCTCCCTCCCACGACGTTGCTCTAACCCCACTTTCCTCTTCCTCCTCCTCTCATGAGGACCCTTGTGATTACTCTGAGCACAGCAGGACAGTCCAGGCTGTCTCCCCATCGCAAGGTCAACTCATCAACAACCTGAGCTCCATCTTCCCCTTCAGTCCCCTGCCCTATGACATAAATAGTCACAGGGTTCATGGATTACCATGTAGCCATCACTGGGGACAATTATTCTTCCCACCACAGCAACTATTTCTCTGTACTGAATCCCCCTTTACCCCAAATACAGTCTGGGCCTGGATGATTGGACCCTGATGGACGCCCCCACCAGAAGCTCTGGGATTCAGGAGGTGGGACAGTGAGAAGCCCAGACAGAAAGCCTCTGACCTGTGACCATGATCACCACAGGGTTGCTGGGTGCCGACCACCCAGTGGGGGAGTGTGGGTGTGAACTGCAACATCTGTAGGTCCCTGCATGTGCTGGGGTCACAGGGCCCATGAGAAAGCTGTTCCGGAATATTCTGTTGTAGAGCTCAGGGACAGGCATCCCGTCTTCTTTGGACAGACTGAATTCGTTAAACCCAAGATGAGAGCGACACTGAAGAGTCACATGTTGTCCTTCAGACACCACAGTGCCGGGCCAGGCAGAGAGGAAGGGCTTGTCCTGACCACCTGGGGGAGAAGGAGGCACTACCTTAGAGAGGAGGATGTGGAGCCGCCCCTCCCTCCCTGTGCTCAGAAGATTCTCCCATTTCCACGTTTCTAAGGCTCCTACCACACCTGGGTGCCCAGGGCTACAGGAAGGACCCATCCCGCATAGACATGGCGTCTCCCTACAGCAAGTGTCAGCTGAGAACTTTGAGCAGGTGCTGAAGAAGCGACTCTTACTAGATTTTAACACTGCAAAATTACTTACATAAAAGAACACAAGGTAGACACAGGATGGAGGGCATGATCAGCTAATGCATGAACCATAATAAACAACTGAGCCCCTATTAGAAGATCTGGAATGTCAGGGTCATGACTGTGGTTCCCCCACCTCTTAGGTAGAATGACAGCAGCCACATTGCAGCCCCTACCGTCATGGAAACGCTGGAGGGTGTGAGTTATGCTCTTGTCCTCAGAGGCCTGTTGTTCCTTGCACTGCTTCTCTCCCTTCCTCTGCCGGTGACACCACTTCCTCCCTGCACACCACTCCTTTGAGCACTTCAGTCTCCCCCTGGGTCCCCACAGACTCAGCCAAGGGAAAGAAAGGCCGGGGAGGGCTAGGACAGAACTGTGGCGAAGCTTCCCCTGGCTTCCTTTTCCTAGTTCATGAGAGATTCCCACATGGCTTCCCATGGTCAGCCCATCAGTCAACCCCCTGTGTCGCCTGCCTCCCGTTTCAGGAACATCATCTTATGTGGGGAGATGACAACCTAAGGTTTGGGGGAAGGACTCACCCACATGTGGCCAGGGCCCCTCCAGCAAGAAGAACCCTGGAAAGAAAGATCATGATGGATGATCCATCTGTACATCACCTCCAGGCCCATATCTCCACTCCAGGCCCATATCTCCACCTCCGTCCTATATCTCTACTCCAGGCCCATATCTCCACTCCAGGCCTATATCTCCACCTCTGTCCTATATCTCTACTCCAGGCCCATATCTACACTCCAGGCCCATATCTCCACCTCCAGGCCTGTATCTCCACCTCCAGGCCCGTGTCTCCATTCCAGGCCCATATCTGCACTCCAAGCCAACATCTCCACTCCAGGCCCATATCTCTACTCCAGGCCCATATCTACAGTTCCAGGCCCATATCTCCACCTCCAGGCCCATATCTCCACTCTAGGCCCATATCTCCACCTCCAGGCCCGTATCTCAATTCCAGGTCCATATCTGCACTCCAAGCCAATATCTCCACTCCAGGCCCATATCTACAGTTCCAGGCCCATATCTCTACTCCAGGCCCATATCTCTACTTCAGGCCCATATCTACAGTTCCAGGCCCATATCTCCACTCCAGGCCCATATCTCCACCCCAGGCCCATATCTCCACTCCAGGCCTATATCTCCACTCCAGGCCCATATCTCCACTCCAGGCCCATATCTCCACTCCAGGCCCAGATCTCCACCCCACCGCTCCCTCCCTCGATTCCCTTCCAGGACTCACCAACACACGCCATGCTGACGACCATGAGCGACATGGTGCTGCCGGTGCAGACAGGCGGCTGCGCCCCAGCTCAGTTCAGCAGCACACAGGATGTTGTGAGGGGCTCATGCAGTTTACATGCTGACCACATCATGGGAGGATGACGTATGCAGGCTATTTCTACCTTGCATGAGGCCCAGTGGCTGTTTGGTCAAGAGCAGAACATGGCTTCCTGGAAATTGTTCCAACTAGAATTGACACCTTGCATCCTTCACTATAACCAACTCAAAACACGTCTCAGATCCAATCTCTCATACAGGAGATGACTGAATGCTTGGCTTACATTAAAGACTTTTGATGTATTTTTGTTGTTTTTATCTGAGATTCAAACTCTTCTTCATGTGCTATTTTCCCCAGGCTGTTCTTTGACTTCAGAGTTCAAGCAATCCTCCTGCCCCAGCATTTCTAGCAGCTGGCAGTATGTCACAATCTGCCACACCCAAGTCACAACTTTTAGAACTTTTTTTTTTTTTGAGACGCAATCTCACTTCGTCACCCAGTTTGGAATGCAGTGGTGAGACCTCGGCTCATTGCAGCCTCCACCTCCCAGGTTCACGCAATTCTCGTGCCTCAGCCTCCTAAGTAGCTGGATTTACAGGCACCCACCACCACGCCCACCTAATTTTTGTACTTTTAGTAGAGAGGAGGTTTCTCCATGTTGGCCAGGCTGGTCTTGAACTCCTAACCTCAAGTGATCTGTCTACTTCAGCCTCCCAAAGTGCTGAGATTACAGGTGTGAGCCACCATGCCTGGCCGGGACATTCTATATGTGTGCGTATGTGTGCATTTATATACATATGGTTATACACACACACACACACACACACACACACCCTAAGCACTCACATATATAGTTGTTTCAAATTTTAAAAAATATAAATTTTGTATTTTTCTTTCTTTTTCTCACATTTGTGTTTCTATGACACCATATACATATTGAATTTTATAGCTCTATTTTATTCTTTTGGATTGCAGTTTAATAGTCCATGCATAACTTTATCAACATGTAATTATCCATTCTTTTTATCATGGACATTTGTGTTGTTTCCGGATTTTCTCTTTTATAACTCGGGCCTTGATAATCGTGTTTCTGTGTGATCCCTTGCATACATATGCTGAATTAATTAGACATATTTACCTAGAAATGAAATTATTGGTTTTGGGTGCAAGTTGGTGTTGAGCTTAACCAGGAAGTGCCAAAATATTTCCATCATGACCAAATGTGGCCTGGAAAGTTTTTTGGGGTCAATTTTCCTGTTTCTTCTAAGGAACAAAATTGATGTCACTGATTTTTCTGTCCTGTTTGTCATTTATGAATGTATGTACATATGCACGTATATATTTGCTTGCCATTTTATGTTTTTCCTCGACGTTACTTTGGAATTAATTTGCTGATGTGTAGTATTTCTGCAAGTGAAAGTTACCTATTTACTCAGCTCTTCCTTCTTTTCTAACACAGACATTTGAGGCTTATTGTCCCTTAACGCTGTTCTATCTGTATCCCCAGTCATTTGCCGAGATGTGTTTTCATTTTTAATTGATACAAAATATTTTCCACCTTTCTTTGAAATGTTTTTCTTCCACTCATTGTTTATTGCTATGTGTGTTTATTAATTTTAAAATATTTGATAATTTCCCCAGCATTTCCTTGTTGTACATTTATAATTTAATTCAACTGTTTCATCTATCATATTACCTATGATTCAGCATTTAAAAATTTATTTTGGTGAATGTTCCAGGGGTGCTAGACAAGTTTGTGGATTAGGAAGATTTGAGGTGGATGCTTTCTAAATGTCAGTTAAGAAAAAAATCATTCAAATGTTTTTCTTTATTTAAAAAAAATAGAGACGGGGTCTCACTATGGTGCCCAGGCTGGTCTCAAACTCCTGGCCTCAAGTGATCCTCCCATTTTGGCCTCCCAAAGTGCTAGGATTATTGAAATTATTAAATGTTTCATATCAACACCCAACCTTATGCACCCGCCGCCTACACAAATGTTTTTCAAGTCTTTCATATGCTTAATAATTTTCTGTGTACTTGTTCTGGAAGTGAGGTGAATGTTGCTATCTCTAGCTGCAATTTGGATGTGATTGATTATGTTTTGAATTATGCCTTTAATTTAATGTGTTTTGAGGTTCCAGCTTTAGGTGTGTAGGCATTTAGGATGATTATGTCTTATTTATGAATTTGCCTCTTTGTCATTATGAAGTACTCCTCTTCATATCTCCATATATCTCTTCTTTGTATGTGCATGGTGAAATATTTCATTCTTTGAGTTAAGAAACTTCTATTGAGGAATACTTTTTATTACAAACATTTACCTATTCTATGTATACAACTGACTAGAAGCATATTTTGCACTGGGCATTATCATGACAAGGTAATGTCATTCTTTCAATATTTACATCTTGTGGATTAGTATTTGAAGTGCAGCTTATGTAGACAGCATAAGGTTGGGTGTTGATATGAAACATTTAATAATTGCACACGTATTTGCCTCTTGGGATACTTCCACTTTTTTGAATTTCAAGTTACTAAATGGTATCATTAATCTTTGCTTCAAGAGCTTAACATTTATTGTAGAACAATGCTTCATGTAATAAATTGTGAGACATTTTTAATGGCACCTTTATTGCAGGAAAATGTTTTCCTTTTCAGGTTGAAAGATTCTAGTTTGAAATATTTTCTTGTAGCACTTTAAAAATGTTGGTCCACCTGTTTCTTACTTTCATAGTTTTGAATACAAAGTTTGCTGTCATTCTTGTATTTCTTCTTCTGTTTTTTATTTATTTATTTTTGACAGAATATCTTGCCGTCTCACCCAGGCTGGAGTGCAGTGGCATGATCTTGGCTCACTGCAACCTCTGCCTTCCAGGTTTCAGCAATTCCTGCCTCAGCCTCCTGAGTAGCTGGGACTACAGGCATGCGCCACCATACCCAGCCAATTTTTTTTTTTGTATTTTTTTTTTGTAGAGATGAAGTTTTGCCATATTGGCCAGAACTCCTGACCTCAAATGATCCACCTGCTTTGGCCTCCCAAAGTGCTGGGATTACAGGTGTGAGCCACTGTGCTCAGGCTATTTATTCCTTTTTATATAATATGAATTCACATTCATACATACCAGGGGTTAGGATTTCAACAAACGTTTCTGGGGGAGACCACTCAAAACACAGCACTCATCCTTGGTTATTTCCAGCCATGGAGCCTGTATCAATATCCTGGTGAATTATCTAAGCTGTCCACCTACCTACCCCAAATCCTCATGGTCACATAAAAGGCTAGTATAGTATAATAATTTTTCTTTCCCTGCTTATCTACAGTGATGAAGAAACGAATATTCAAAGGGAAAAATCTTAGCTTTAGGTATAGGGTAATTCTTCTTCCTATTTTTAAATAACTTCAACCTTTACTGTAGATTAAAGGTATGCATGCAGGTTTGTTACATAGGCATATTGTGTGACTCTGAGGTTTGTGGTTCCAACAATGCCATCACCCAGGCAATGAGCATAGAATCCAACAGGTGTTTCTTCAGCCTATACCTCCCTACTCCTCCCCCCATCTGTAGTCCTCGGTATCTGTTGTTTCCATCTTTATGTTCATGTGTATTCAATGTTTGGTTCTCAGTTATAAGTGATAACATGTGGTATTTGGTTTTCTGTTCCTGGGTTAGTTCACTTAGGAGATTGACCTCCTGCTACATTCATGTTGCTGCAAAGGACATGATTTCATTATTTTTTATGGCCATGTAATGTTCCATGTGTATATGTAGCACATTTTCTTTAACTAATCCACTGTTGGTGAGCACTTAGGTTGACTGCAAATCTTTGCTATTCTGAATTGCACAGCAATGAATATACTAGTGCATGTGTCTTTTTGACATAGTTAATTACCTTCCTTTTGGTATATACCCAGTAGTGGGATTGCTTGATTGAATAGTAGTTCTATTTTAAGTTATTTGAGAAGTCTCCAAACTGCTTATCACATTGGCTGAACTAGTTAACATTCCCACCAAGAGTGTATAAGTGTTCCCTTTTCTCCACAATCTTGTCAGCATCTGTTATTAAAAAAAACAAAAAACTTTTTAGTAATTGCTTCTGCTTCTCTGATTGTTGTGAGATGGTATCTCACTGTGGTTTTAATTTGCATTTCTCTGATGATTACTGATAATAAGCATTTGTTCATATGTTTTTTGGCCATGTGTACATCTTCTTTTGAGAAGTGTCTGTTCATGTCATACTTAATTGAGGTTTTTTGGTTTTCTGCTTGTTGATTTGTTTACATTCCTTATAGATTCTGGATATTAGAACTTTGTCAGATGCATAGTTTGCAAATATTTTCTCCCAGTCTGTAGGTTATCTGTTTACTCTGTTGATACTTTCGTTTGCTGTGCAGAAGCTCTTCAGTTGAGTTAGGTCCCAATTTCTGTCTTTGTCACAATTGGTTTTGGGGAGTTAGCCATAAATTCTTTGCCAAAGTCTATCTTGAGAAGGATATTTCCTAGGTTTTCTTCTAGAATTTTAATATTTTGAGGTTTTACATTTAAATCTTTAAACTATCTTGGGTTAATTTTTGTATATAGTGAGAGTTAGGGGTCCAGTTCTATTATTTTGCATATGAGTAGTCAGTTATCCCAGAACTATTTATTGAAGAAAGGGTACTTTCCACATTGCTTGTTTTTGTCAATTTTTTCAAAGATGATTGTAGGTATGTAGCCTCATTTCTGGGTTCTCTATTCTGTCTCATTGGTCTATGTGTCTGTTTTTGTAGTAGTATCATGCTGTTTGGGTTACTATAGCATTGTAGTATAGTTTGAAGTTGGGTAATGTGATGCCTGGGCTTTGTTCTTTGTGCTTAGGATTCCTATGTGTATTCAGGCTCTTTTTTTGGTGCCAAATACATTTTAGAATAAATTTTTATAATTTCGTGAAAAATGACATTGCATTTTGAAATGGATAGCATTGACTCTGCAATTTGTTTTTGGAAGTATGGCGATTTTAACTATTTGTTCTCCTAATTCATGAGCATGGAATATTCTTCCATTTGTTTGTATCATTTCTTATTTCTTTCAGAAGTGTTTTGTAGTTCTCCTTGTAGAGAATTTTCACCTTCTTGGTTAGATGGATTCCTAGGTATTTTATTTTCTTTGTGGCTAGTGTAAATGGAATTGTGTTCTTGATTTAGTTCTCAGCTAGAATGTTAGTGGTGCATAGAAATGTTACTAATTTGTGTACATTTTTTTAATCCCGAAACTTTATTGAATTTGTTTATCAGTTTCAGGAGCCTTCTGACAGAGTCTTTAGGGTTTTCTATGTATAAAATTATTTCATCAGCAAAGAGAGACAGTATCACTACTTCTTTTCCAATTTTAATGCCTTTTATTTCCTTCTCTTGCCTGATTGCTTTGGCTAGGACTTCCAGTACCATGTTGAATTAAAATGGCGGGAGTGGTCATCCTGGTCTTGTTTCGGTTCTCAAGGGGTATGGTTCCAGCTTTTGCCCATCAATATGATGTTGGCTGTGGGTTTGTCATAGATGGCTCTTAATATTTTGAGGTATGTTCCTTTGATGCCTATTGACAGTTTTTATCATGAAGGGATGTTGGATTTTACAGAAAGCTTTTTTTGCATCTATTGAGATGATCATATAGTTTTTGTTTTTAATTATGTTTATGAGGTGAATCACATTCGTTGACTTTGTAGGTTGAACCAACCTTGCATCCCAAAAATAAAGCTTACTTGATCATGTGAATTAACTTTTGATGCACTGACAGATTCAATTTGCTAGCATTTTGTTGAGGATTTTATGTCTATGTTCATTAAGGATATTTAGTTGTAGTTTTCTTTTTTTCATTATGTCTCTGACAGATGTTGGTATCATGGTGATGATGGCTTCATAGAATGAGTTAGGAAGAAGCCCCCACTCCTTGATTTTTTCCAAAAGTTTCAGTAAGATCGGTATCAGTTCTTCTTTGTATGGCTGTTGGATTTTGGCTGTGAATCCGTCTGGTCCTGGGCTATTTTTAGTTAGTAGGGTTTTTATTACTGATTAAATTTCTGAACTTGTTATTGGTCTGTTCAGGTTTTCACTTTCTTCCTGGTTGAAATATGATAAATTTTGTGTTACCAGGAATTTATCCATTTCTTCTAGGTTTTCTAGCTTGTTTGTATAGAGGTGTTCATAATAGTCTTTGACGATCTTTTCTATTTCTGTGGGATTGTTCGTAACATTGTTTTGTCAGTTCTATTTGTGTTTATTTGGATCTTTTCTCTTTTTCTTTGTTAATCTAGCTAACAGTCTATGAATTTTGTTTATTTTTTTTCAAAGAAAAACTCTTGGTTTTATTTATCTCTTGTATGGACTTTTTGGTCTCAATTTATTCAGTTCTCTCTGACTTTAGTTATTTCTCATCTTTTGCTGGCCTTGGGTTTGGACTGTTCCTTTTTTTTAATAGTTCCTCTAGATGCAGTGTTAAGTCACTAATTTGAGATCTTTCTAAACTTCTGATGAGGCATGTATTGCTATAAATTTTCCTCTTATCACTGCTTTAACTGCATCCCAAAGGTTTTGGTAAGTTTGTTTCTATTTTTATTAATTTTAAATAATGTTTTGTGATTTCTGCTTTAATTTCATTGTTCACCCAAGAGTTCTCAAGGGGTACAGTTCCAGCTTTTGACCATTCAATATGATGTTGGCTGTGGATTTGTCATAGATGGCTCTTAATATTCATTCAGAAACAAGTTGTTAAATTTCCATGTTTTTCTGTAGTTTTGAGAGATCATCTTGGTATTTTTTTCTATTTTTATTGTGTGCCTTGTTATGATTTTGATTCTTTGAATTTATTGAGACTTGCTTTGTGGCCAGTCTTAGAATATGATATGTTTTTTGTGTGTGCAGATAAGAAGAATCTATATTCTGCAGTTGTTGGGTGGAGTACTCTGTAGATGTCTATGAGGTCCAATTGGTCAAGTGTTGTCTTTAAGACCAGAATTTCTTTGTTAGTTTTCTGTTTTAGTGATTCATCTGACGTTGTTAGTGGGATACTGAAGTCCCTTACTATTATTGTGTGGCTGTCTAACTCTTTTCATAGGTGAAGAATAACTTGTTTTATGAATCGGGGTGCTCCAAATTTGGGTGCATATATATTTAGAATAGTTAAGTCTTCTGTCAAATTGAACCCTTTATCATTTTGTAATGCCCTTCTTTGTCCTTCCTGATTGCTGTTGATTTAAAGTGTGTTTCATGTGATATAAGAATAGGAATGCCTTCCTTTTTTTTGTTTCCTGGTTGCCTAGTAAATATTTCTTCATCCTTTTACTTTGAGCCTGTGGGTGTCATTACATGTGAGATGGGTCTCTTGAAGACAGCAGGCAGTTGGCTCTTGGCTTTTTATCCACGTTGCCACTCTATGCCTTTTATGTGGGGAATTTAGGCCATTTACATTTCTTCTCCTGATATATCCTTTTTATATTTTTATGATTGCCTTTTAAAATATATTGAATGGTTGTAATTCCAGGGAAATGTCTTTCAGAACAGTATTTATTCCTATCTACATGTTTTGGAGAGTGCACTAGGGGACATTGAAGTTTATTTCCTGAAAAGAGTTTAATTTTAAAATGTATTTTATTTAATAACTCAATGATTCAGGGAATGTCTAGGTATTTCAGAGATTGTTTTAGACAGTTTGTTTTCTTGTGATATGTGACCACTTCATCTAAGCTGAATAATGTCTTCATAATGTCCACTTAGAATCTTTTGAATTCTGTAGGATCTGTACTGATGTCATTGTTTCCTTTCTGATATTGGTAATTTTCCTGGGGTAGGATTCTTAGCTCCTCCTGAGGTCCTGCCTCTAAAATTCAGGGAACAATGAGTCAGATTAGTACTCTGATTTCAAAGGGAAAGCTGATCATCTACCATTTTTTGTTTATGTAAATGGACACATTAACATCCCTTGTCTGAACCTTAGTTACCTTGTTTGGAGCATTTTGCTATAAATCTCACTTCTCAGAGTGGTTGTGGGGCTTGATGTGGCTGGGGTATGGGATGGCTTAAACATAATTTATTTCCAGACCAGGTTAAGGCATGAAGGGGTTGGGACTTGTTAGAATCCTGTTGTCGGACTCCACAGTAAGGGTAGACATTTGAGGCACCCAATCAAAAACCTCAGTTGTTCCTAGCACTGAGAAATTTGATAGAATGTTTCTAAAACATTATTCATGGTCTAATGCACAAAAAGTAAAGTGATAGCCCTGGAAGTAGACAGGGAACCATAAGAAAAAAGAGAGAGCAAAGCTCAGTGGTCACCAGTGCCTGGGACCATCAAGGGGTTATTAAGGAGGAAGTTTCCACCTCTGTGGGGAACAGAAGAGGCTCCCTAGGGTCCACACACACAGGGAGTGAGCCAAGACTCTGGGCGAGGCTGGAAGCTCTGGGTCTCCTTCTGTGAGATTTTCTTTTTTTTTTTTGAGATGGAGTCTTGCTCTGCCACCCAGGCTAGAGTGCAACGGCGTGATCTCGGCTCATGGCAACCTCTGCATAAAGTGGTATGTATTTAAGGCATGCATTAGACAAATTACTAAGTATTTACTAGATAAGAAAAAATTATATCTGAATCTTTTCAAATTGCCGTCTTATGCATTATATTCTCTTTTTATAGTGCAATTTCTTAATAGTTAATGCCAGAAGATTTTTTTTTCTTCCTTTCTTTCTTTCTTTTTTTTTTTTTTTGAGACAGAGTCTCACTCTGTTGCCAGGCTGGAGTGCAGTGGCACGATCTCGGCTCACTGCAACCTCCGTCTCTCGGGTTCACGCCATTCTCCCGCCTCAGCCTCCTGAGAAGCTGGGACTACAGGCACCCTCTACCATGCCCAGCTAATTTTTTTTTTTTTTGTATTTTTAGTAGAGACGGGGTTTCACCATGTTCGCCAGGATGATCTCTGTCTCTTGAACTCGTGATCCACCTGCCTTGGCTTCCCAAAGTGCTGGGATTACAGGCATGAGCCACTGCACCTGGTCGCCAAAAGATATTTTTAAAAACCTAAATGCCACTTGAAATGAATAAGACCCTCAATAATTCATGGGATATACATGTGAACTTATGACATATGATGAAATAAGCAGGTTACAAAATTGTAATATATCAAGCAAGGTAGAAAGCCATGGCAGAAAAAGAGACAAGCATTTTCAAGATAAGGAATGAAAGAGGGGAAACAGTACTATTGATTTTACAGATTTTACAAAGATATCTTAGGTGTGTTTTCCTAAATAATAAATGTACCCTCCTTTTGACCTTTATGTAATGAAATAACCATGCACACATTTTCAAATAATACTTCATTTACTTGACTTTATGCTTGAAAATTGAAGTATGGTGCTGTTTGTTATTTTCATTTATGCATTTTACTACCTTGTAATATTCCACTGAGTCTATTTACCACACTATGTTTATTTTTTTCGTAGGTGGACTTTGGTATTTTATAGCTTTGGCTAATAGGAACAGCATTCCTATAACAGTTGTGAGTGTATCATGACACATAAGTAGACATTTATCTCTAGGGTACATAATTAAGTACATAATTAAGAAGGGTCACAGCCGTGTGCCTCCTCTTTTTAACTAGATAATTCCAATACACTTCCTTAATTGATTAAAGCAATTTGTACTCTTACTATTAATGTACTAAAATTCTACATGTTCAATATTCTTTCCAAAAAATGATTTTGCTACTTTTTTCTTTTCTTGAGACTGAGTCTTGCTCTATCACCCAGGCTGTAGTGATCTCGGCTCACTGCAACCTCCGCCTCCTGGGTTCATGCGATTCTCGTGCCTTGGCCTCCCAAGTAGCTGGGATTACAGGCAGGCGCCACCATGTCTGGCTAATTTTTGTATTTTTAGTAGAGACAGCGTTTCACCATGTTGGCCAGGCTGGTCTCGAACTCCTGACCTCAGGTGATCCTCCTGCCTCGGCCTCCCAAAGTGTTGGGATTACAGGCATGAGCCACCACACCCGGCCTATTTTTTTCTTTTCCCTCCATTGTGCTATGATTTTTGACATTACAATTTTACTGAAACTACACCATAAGAATGAAGCAGAAATTATTATAACCTTTAAATAAACTTTACAACTGGTTCATACTCGTGTGAACGACAATTCTTTTGACTACTTCCCAACTGTGCATTCAATGGCGTCATATGGGCACCCTGAAGTTGGCCATAAAGGACGTATTTATACCACACTAATCAGCAAATACCATAAATCTGGGGCTTTATATGTTCAGAGTTTTCTTAAGAAAATAATTTTTTCAGAGAGCCAGTTTAACAGAATACCATGAGGCTGAGCCTTCGAGCGTTAGTGTGCTCATTCTGAGAGATGATATTTCTGGACAAAGTACACAGGTATCATCCGATGAAGAGTGAAGGGAATTCAGGGTCCAGAGAGGGTGCTAGGGCATCATTTCAGACTCATATTTCCCTTTTTTTTTTTTTTTTTGGAGATGGAGTCTTGCTCTGTTGCCCAGGCTGGAGTGCAGTGGCAAGATCTTGGCTCACTGCAACCTCCGCCTCCCGGGTTCAAGCTATTCTCCCGCCTCAGCTTCCTGAGCAGCTGGGATTACAGGTGCTCACTGCCACACCCAGCTAATTTTTGTATCTTTTAGTAGAGACAGGGTTTCACCATGTTGGCCAGGTTGGTCTCGAACTTCTGACCTCAAGTGATCCGCCCACCTCAGCCTCCCAAAGTGCTGGGATTACAGGTGTGAGCCACTGTGCCTGGCCTCAGACTCATGTTTCAAAGTCCCAAATACAAATCTGCCCACCTATTCCAGTTATTTAATCCAGATCTATGCTCAGAACTGAAAAGATGGAGAATCAATAGTTCACTTTAGAGAATGCGGTAGTTGGAAACAAAGACAAATGTATTACATGACAGTGGACCAGAGCACGTGATCGCAGGGGTGTGGATGCAAACCCACCATGGGGGACGTGCCTTCACATCACAGAGAGCGAAAGGAAGGGAGGGGCAGACACGGAGGATCCACAACAGCAGGACTGAAAGCACTGCCATTTAATGGAAGTTTAATGGAGGAAGCGTTCTCTACAGGCACCCAGACATCTTCCTGAACCTGACCCAAGCCTCCCCTTCTCGACTTTCTCAGTAGACGGTTTCCCGAATGATGGTCCAGACTTTCTTCCAGAACCTCCTAGGACTATCAGATTCATTGCCAAGGCTCTGGCACTCTGAAGGGTGCATTGTTCTCTCATGTATTTACCTCCTTGCTGCATCTTGGGGACTTCTCTAGCTGTGCCAGTCCTAAAGCAGCAGAATCCCGAGGACCACCAGGACCAAGCCAGCCACAGCCACGCGGATGAGATTCTCCACTGTGTAATCCTGGGGGTGTGAGGCTGGGGATGGTGGACCAAGAGGTCTCAGAGGTCAGGGCAGATCAACATCACCCGGGACCCCTGGATGTCCACCCAGGGCACCCACCTCCCCTTCACAGGACCTGACCCTCTGTGCCAGCCCCATAACCGAGAGCATCTCCTTACACACCAGTCTTGGAGTCTGTCTTGTTTTGCGATGGGCTGAGGGTCTCAGCTGCTCCTGAGAATCAACCAAAAAAGGGGGAGGTGTGTGAGGAGTTGAAGAGACTTAAGCCAACATGTCCCTCAGTTGCTGCATTCCTTTGTGTCTACACTTCTCCTAACTGCTCTGTAGTTGTGTGATAGAACCTTTCCCTGCCGTGGCAGAGGTACATTCGCATACATACATACATATATGCATAGGTGTAAATATGTGTGTATACATAATATGTGTTATGCATATGTGTATACATAATATGTATTATGCATATGTGTATAGATAATATGTATTATGCATATGTGTATGCATAATATGTATTATAAGATATAGTGTGAGTATATATAAATATATAATATATAAGATATATAATAGTGTGTGTATACATATAAATATATAATAAGATATGTAATAGTGTGTGCATATATAAATATATAATATATAATAAGATATATAATAGTGTGTATATATAAATATATAATACATAATATATTATAAGATATATAATAGTATGTATATATAAATATATAATACATAATATATAAGATATATAATAGTGTGTGTATATATAAATATATAATACATTATATATTATAAGATATATAATAGTATATATAAATATATAGTACATAATATATAATAAGATATATAATAGTGTGTGTATACATATAAATATATAATAAGATATGTAATAGTGTGTGCATATATAAATATATAATATATAATAAGATATATAATAGTGTATATATATAAATATATAATACATAATATATTATAAGATATATAATAGTATGTATATATAAATATATAATACATAATATATAAGATATATAATAGTGTGTGTATATATAAATATATAATACATTATATATTATAAGATATATAATAGTATATATAAATATATAGTACATAATATATAATAAGATATATAATAGTGTGTGTATACATATAAATATATAATAAGATATGTAATAGTGTGTGCATATATAAATATATAATATATAATAAGATATATAATAGTGTATATATATAAATATATAATACATAATATATTATAAGATATATAATAGTATGTATATATAAATATATAATACATAATATATAAGATATATAATAGTGTGTGTATATATAAATATATAATACATTATATATTATAAGATATATAATAGTATATATAAATATATAATACATAATATATAATAAGATATATAATAGTGTGTGTATATATAAATATATAATACATAATATATATTATAAGATATAATAATGTGTGGGTAATATAAATATATAATACATAATATATAAGATATATAATAGTGCATATATAAATATATAATACATAATATATATTATAAGATATAATAATGTGTGGGTATATATAAATATATAATACATAATATATATTATAAGATATAATAATGTGTGGGTATATATAAATATATAATACATAATATATAAGATATATAATAGTGTATATATAAATATATAATACATAATATATATTATAAGATATATAATAGTGTGTGAGTATATATAAACACATACATATATATTTGAAGTGAGAAGAGTATTATATAATTTAGAAACAAACAAGTTTGTCCTCCATTTTCTTGTGGTTAATGTAATTATTATCAATAAATCAGAAGAGATCATTTCGGAAAGGATTGAAAGGGAGTGTGTCTGTGGTAAGTTAATAGGAACTAAAATTAGCATACCCAAACCAATAGCTTTCTCATCCATACGTAACTAATTTTAGAAAATAGAAAGGAATCAAAGACTTTCAAATTATTCAAGTAGTAAAACAATGCTTAAAATTCACAATGTCCACAATTTTTATGAATACAACTTCAAGCATCTGCTAACTGTATAAAGTTTAATTTTAAATGTATTGGATACAAAGACATTATTAATGAGAAGTTATTCTCCATCATGAATGCACATATTTAATTTAATCCCAAAGAAAATCAGAGCACAGTTATTTTACATCATAACGCTACCTAACAAATTAAATGTGTAAATTATAAATGCCAGCATTGCTTTGAAATCTTCAGAAACAGAAAGAGAAACTAGATATGTGGACATAAAAAATAAAGGACAGAAAGGAATTGCACACGAGGTTTGCTGTTGAATAATTTGCCTGCATTGCTGCAGTGAGCAGGTGCATGATCTCCCCTTCGTCTCAGGTATGCACTGAGTATTTTGGGGCCGCCAGGGGAGCCCAGGTGGGGAGTGGGTGGGGCCTCCATCTTCTACCCTCAGCCTAAGCATGATTCCTCCAAGGTTTCTCCATATCTCATTTCAGCCCTCCCTGGCCTTTAGCCCCATCTGAGGTCTCTGGGGTGGGAGCCCAGGATTAGGAGGTCCCTGACTATTTCCACCCTCTCATGGGCTGGGCCCTCCCCTGCCGACCCTCCCCCTTTACTCCCCTCTTTCCTTAGCGTCCTGAGCTCTCCTGGGGGCAGGGCCTGAGCTGAGGTTTGAGCTCAGAGAGGACAGGGTCAGCGGCCTCACCTGAGACCACGAGCTCCAGGGGGTCACTGGGGTGAGACAGCAGGTAGGGGAAGAATCTGCGTGAGCTGTAGCACCTGTAGGTCCCCGCGTGGGCTGAGGTCACAGGACTCATGGGGAATTCAGCCTGGTGCTGCTGAGCTTGGTGCTCTGATCTCAGACGCAGTGGGTGATGGGCTGCCCCCTCCTTGGTCAGAAGGAAAGTGTCCAACTGCTCCCGTGACTGACACAGCAGGGTCACGTTCTCTCCTGAGGCCACCGTGGGGCCCGGCTGCACCGAGAGGGAGGGTCTGCCACGGATCTGTCCTGGAGAGAAGAAGGATGGGTGAGGGGCTGCCCCACCTCGTTCTGAGCTGACACCTCCCCAGGCCTCTCCCTGGGACCCTCAGTGTCTCTGTCTCTGTTTTCTCTGAGTCTCCCCCTCCCCGCCCATCCCCTGTCTCTGTCTGTCTCTCCGTCCCTTAGGACCCCCACCCCTCATCCCGGCCATCACCACCTGGGCTCCCCCAGCAGGGCCTGTGCGGAGCCTGGGTCCCTGACTGAACCTGCTGGGCTCCTCACCTGCGATCAGGATGCTCAGGGGGTCACTGGGGGCCGACCACTCGGAGGAGAGGTTGTGTGCACCGTAGCATCTGTACTGGCCCCCGTGGGAGACCCTCACAGGGCCCAGGGTGAAGTTGGCCTGGGAGAGCCCAGCCTGGGGCTGCCGGCCAGAGCCCTGGACGAGGTCATGTCCCCCCTCCTTGTACAGAGTGAATTTGTCATAGCCGACATCAGAGCCACACTGGAGGGTCAGATTCTCCCCAGGGGCCACGACAGGGCCCTGCAGGGTCAGGAGGGAGGGCTTCCTAGACACGCCTGGAGGGAAAGAAGAGTCGGGACTAGGAGGGCTGGTTCCTCCCACACCCCTTCCTTCTCCCCTCCTGGCCCTGCAGGTCTCACTGTCTCTCACACTCAGTGTCTCTGGGCTCAGGAGTCCCAAACTTCCCTTGTTCCACCCTCCTACATGGGGCTCCGTGAGAGTAAGTTCTCAAAAATAAATAGGGCAAGGAGGAAGACATCCATACCTAAGACCAGGATCTCCATGGTATCACTGGGTTCCGACCACACCCAGGGGAAGTTCGTGTAATGCCCATAGCATCTGAACATCCACCGGTGACTGGCAGCCACACGGCCCACAGGGAACAGGGCCAGGGACAAGGGACAGCCCCTTGGAGAGTTCCTGTGAGTCCAGCATCCAGGAGAGCTTGTTTTCTCCTTCCTCAATCAAAATGAACCTGTGAAATCCCACCCTTGAGCTACACTGGATGGTCACGTTCTCTCCTGAGGTCACCACAGGGCTCGGCAGGGCTGAGAGAGTGGGTTTTCTGTGGGCTCCTAGGAGAGAAGGAGACACTGTCTTAAATGGGGCTCACGCGTCCCACATCATCCCCCAGGGCTGAGTTATTAGAACGGAGATGCCCTTGAGAGCTGACCCCCTTCCTGCAGGCAGAGCCTGGGGCTGGGACCCCTGAGTGTCCTCTTACCTGTCACCACCAGCTCCAGGGGCTCGCTGCGCTCTGACCAGCCTGCAGGGCTGAGATAGTGACAGTGGTATCTCCCTGCATGGTGCTCTCTCATGGATGGGATGAAGAAGTTGGTCTTGTTCCTGGGCTCTGGTGGGCTCTGTTGGTACCAGGTCATGGGGTTTCCTTCCTTGGTGAGATAGTAACCCTGGGTATCCAGGGTCCCCTGGCACCAGAGGGTCATGGGGCTCTCCCAGGTAATCACAGAGCCTGGCTCAGCCCAGAGGCTGGGTTTGGGGAGGGTCCCTGGAAGAAACCACAGGCTGGGGTCCACAGACCTCCCCCGCTCCTCATTCCCAGCTCAGGTCACAGACCCTCTTGATTTTCTCACCCTCAGTTCAGAAGCCCCTGAGATGAGAGTCCAGGTGCTGAGTGTGAGGTCAGGCATGGGAGGTTAGCAGAGACTCACCTGCAAGTGCTTGGGCTTTCTGGCCCAGACTCAGCCATGGAGAAGAGTTTCCTGTGGGGGATTTGGAACACAGAGGTGTGGCTGCTTCCCTTCCTGTTGGAGCACCAGTAGCCACTGGAGCCCTGAGGCTCTCTGGTGAACAAGGCTGCTGTGGGACCCTCCCCACCTCAGCCCAGTGCCCCTCCTGTCCCTCGTCTCTCCACCACTGACTGAGGCACAGAAGAACAGTGAGGATGGACACCATGATGCCTGCTCTGCGTGCTCCAGCTGTGGGACAGGTGACCACATGGCCCTCCATGACAGACAGATGCACGGATGTGGTTAAGTCAGAGCCTGCTGCCGCCTGCCTGGGTCCCCACAGCTGTGAACCCACAGGAAGTGGACAGCCCCTTGCTGGGCCTGTCTCTTATTCCCCCCCCAGTGCAGGGGCTCAGGAGGACCCAGGCCCTCTGCACACATCTCAGCCCAGACCTGAGGTGTCCCCTGATTGCCAGGGATCCTTTGTCTGAAAACCTGCCCGTGGAGGGTGGACCCAACATCATATCTATGTCAGCTCCCAACTTAGCTGGGTCTAAACTGAAAACACAGCCCTTATTTTCTCAGAGCCTCCACTCATGACATCGGCTTTCTTTTTCCCCACTGATGCAAAGACAAATATTTCCCAGCAGAAAGTCATCCTGATCTGGAGAGACCCATTTCCTGCGTTCAGTAAATAAAGTCAGTTTCATTAGGGGAGGCTCTGGGAAAATAAGGGGATGCAGACTAGCAGAAGATGAACATTTAGCTACTTGTTTCTCAATTAATTGATTTATTACCAAAGAGAGAGAAGTGGAAACATGAGAATAGGGACCATGACTAGAATGTGGTTGAGGGAATGGTTTCTATCTTATTCCCTGGCAGAGAACTAAGGGATAAGAATGAGAAAGCTGGCTGGGTGCAGTGGCTTACACCTGTAATCCCAGCACTTTGGGAGGCCGAGGCAGGAAGATCACAAGGTCAGGAGTTCAAGACCAGCCTGACCAACATGGTGAAACCCCTGTCTCTACTAAAAATACAAAAACTAGCTGGGTGTGCTGGCATGCGCCTGTAATCCCAGCTACTAGGGAGGCTGAGGTGGGAGAATCGCTTGAACCTGGGAGGTGGAGCTTGCAGTGAGCCGAGATCGCGCCACTGCACTCCAGCCTGGGCAACAAAGCCGGACTGTCTCAAAAAAAAAAAAAAAAAAAAAAAAAAAGAAAGAGAGAAAACCCAGCAGTGAGAGGTAGTTGTGAGAACACACTAAAGAGGAAAGATAATCCAGGGCTGGGAGTGGTGGCTCATGCCTGTAATTCCAGCACTTTGGGAGGCTGAGGCTGGCAGATCACAAGGTCAGGAGTTCGAGACCAGCCTGACCAACATGGTGAAACCCTGTGTCTACTAAAAATGCAAAAATTAGCTGGGTGTGGTGGTGGGTGCCTGTAATCCCAGCTACTCAGGAGGCTGAGGTGGGAGAATCGCTTGAACCCAGGAGACGGAGGTTGCAGTGAGCTGAGATTGCACCACTGCACTCCAGCATAGGCAACAAAGCCAGACTCTGCCAAAAACAAAAACAAAAACAAAAACAAAAACAAAAAACAAGAAAGCTCAGTGAGAGGTGGTTGTGAGAACACACTAAAGAGGAAAGATCATTCAGGGCTGGGAGTGGTGACTCACGCCTGTAATCCCAGCACTTTGGGGGGCCACAGGCGGGTGGATTACCTGAGGGCAGGAGTTCAAGACCAGTCTGGCCAACATGGTGAAACCTCGTCTCTACTAAAAATACAAAAACTAGCTGGGTGTGATGGCGGGTGCCTGTAATCCCAGCTACTTGAGAGGCTGAGTCAGGAGAATCTCTTGAACCCAGGAGGCAGAGGTTGCAGTGAGCTGGGATCGTGCCACTGTACTCTAGCCTGGGTAACAGAGCAAGGCTCTGTCTCAAAAAAATAAAAATTAGAAAGAAAAAAGGAGAAGGAGAAGAGGAAGGAGACAGAAAGGAGAGAAACATCCCTGAGGTGGAACATTACATGCAACATGGAGTAGGCAGGGAATCCGATAGAGCACTGAAACTCTCGCTGGGTACGGTGGCTAACATCTGTACTCCCAGCACTTTGGGTGGCCGAGGTGGATGGATCACCTGAGGTCAGGAGTTTAAGACCAGCCTGACCAACATGGTGAAACCCCATCTCTACTAAAAATACAAAAGGCTGGGTGTGGTGGCTCACGCCTGTAATCCCAACACTTTGGCAGTCTGATACAGGCGGATCACATGAGATCAGGAGTTTGAGACCAGCCTGGCCAAGATGGCAAAACCTCATCTCTACTAAAAATACAAACATTACCTGGCTGTGGTGGCAGTCGCCTGTAATCCCAGCTATGCAGGAGGCTGAGGCAGGAGAATCGCTTGAACCTGAGAGGTGGAGGTTGCAGTGAGTCAAGATCGTGCCATTGCACTCCAGCCTGGCCAATAGGAGCAAAACTCCATGTGAAAATAAAATAAAATAAAATAAAATATAATAAAATAAAATAATAAATCAAAAAAGGACTGGACATCTCCTGTGGGTTGTCAGTGAATGGAACTAAGCAAGCCACCGCTCTTTCCCTTTTGTCCCGCAAGTGTCTTTCTTGGCCTCCAGGAAGTGAGTTCCATCATGTCAGACCCTATGTTTGTTCCTGCTGGGTTCACTGAGGCTCCTCCCTTTCCACCTGTGGCTCCCCATGGGTTCCCAGTCCCCAGCCAGTGTTGTGAATCGAGCCAGGAAGACCAGCCCTATCACACCCCTCCTGATGGAATTCCCACAGTGTCATCCTGGAGAACAGGGGCTGGGGGCTGGGGTAGGATCAGAGACCTTTTCATGTGGGCCAGGCCCCTCCCTCCACAGGAGCTCTGACACGAAGCTCATCACCATTCATTTCACCCTGACGATATTCTTCCTGCCCAGACACCCCCGTTCTCCCTATGTCATCATGGGCACCTCAGTGAAATCCATGGTTGAGGGTCTCTGTCACTTACTCTGCCCTCTTCTTGGAAAATTTCCTTGGATCCTTCCAGAGCCCTTCCTGAGTGTGCTGCAGGGTCTCTGCCACATGACACACTCTCAGGAACCCTCATCCTCCCCTTAATCTACTGCGCCCACATAGCCAGGTGCAGGCTCCGTTTCTTCATCTTCCCTTCCCCACAGGCCCCGATGGAGAGTGGATTAGACTCGCTCCTGAGTAGGGACTCAGGTCACTCTGACCCCTTCCTCCCTGTGGACGAGGCCTCTGTCCCAGAGCTTTGGAGGCTGAAGGGCCTTGTGGATTCCCGCACTGGCCACAGTCTCCGATGCAGATGGGGAACTGGGGACCTGGGAGGGGTTGCCTAGCCCAAGGCCACATAGCTGGGCGGTGGCACAGCCTTCACTCACACAGGGACATTCCATCTTCCCAGGGACTTCACACTGGAGGCTAAGAGCCCCACTTTGCACACCACATTCAGGGGTAGATTCTGTGTGTGACTAACAAGTTCTCTTAGGGTTCCGAGGTAACAGGACAGCAAATGGATGAGTGAGAGTTTCCCTCACCCCACTGAAGTAGGACCATTCTCTGTGGAGGGTTGGTCCCCTGACTTCCTCTACTCTGTCATCTCCCTAGTGACTGATAGGGGTCCTGGGGTCTCTTCCCTGGAATCCCATGAGGGACAATTCCTTTCCTGAAGGGAAGGTATAGAGAGGACTAGCAGGTGCCTGGTGATGGAAAGTCCCCATAATCAAGAGACATTGCCTCCCCCCCCCGGCATGATAAATATCTGGGTTTCCAAATGGGAAATCTGTCTGTGATGAGAGCTCAGGAGGGGCTTCTGGAAGATGGAAAAGGGCTAGAGGCTGAGGCCACTGCTTATCTCCCCACACTGTATCTGGCTTCACCTCCTGTGTTTGTCCTGACCTCTTCCTTCACTCACCTGGATAAGTAGGACCCCAAAGTGGGCCTCCAGACAGGAAGCAGTGGAGAGTGTGGAGCTGCCCTGTCTACCACCCTACACCCTGACACCACTGTCATACTCAACCTCTCTTTTCCTCTTTGTGTTTCTCATTGCTTCATTTTGTCTGGAATCCCTAAGATTCCCATGTCTCCAGCAGGCTGTCCCTCAGACGTGGCTATATGATTTAGTGTTTCACAGGGCATGCAGCAGGCATGGGCTACCCCCAGTAACAGTGGTCATCTAGGGCTGATCACTCACAGGCAGAGCCATCGACAGAGAGCTGCAGCATCTAGAGGTCCCATCACCAGCCCCAAGACCCAGAGAGAAGTTGGCCTGAATGCCCCACTCTGTCTCTGCACCCCAGTGAGCCAGTGTCCAGGGGCCTTACCTTCCTCGTTAGAAGGCACAGGTCAAATGAGCTTCCAGAGCTGCAGAGCAAAGTCACATTCTCTCCATCATTACTTACTGCAGGGCACAGTTGAGCTGAGAAGGAAGGTCTCTTGTAGACGCCTGGGGAAAAAAATAGTCCTTGACTGTCGAGCACAAGCCTTACCCAGCCTATCCTCAGGGCATGAAAAAGGCATTCTCTCCACCTGTTCTGGGGAGCACACTCTGTTACCCACTCGTGCCTCTCTCCATCTCAGTTCTAGCTCTACAAGCTGGCTCATCATGTGTGTGTTTTCCTGTCTGTCTTTGCTCAGCTTTTCCTTGAATCTCTTGCTTTTTGCCGGTGCGTGTGTGGCTTTCTGCCCTTAGAACCATATGAGATTTAGGGTTCTCCTGGCACATAGAACTGTTTACTTTGAGGACCCTCAGAAAACATAGCCCTGGGCTAAGGCTCCCTGTCCTGGAACTAGAAGGTTATGGGTGTCACCATTTCCCAACAGCATGTCTGAAAGTGCCAGAATCTTCAAAGAGTCTGCAACATGTTTGTAGGATCTTTATAGGGTCTGATATTGCAGGGACCAACCAAAGTGCCCTCACACCCCAAGACGCTGGAAGTGACCCCTTGCTGAAAGTGGTTGGAAGTTTCACATAGAAGTTTGAGTTAAGCCACATTGCTGAGCAATGCCTCAGCATCCCAGTCTTCATCCAGACCTTCCAGGAGCCTGGCTGGAGGGGGTGTCTCTGGTGTGTCACTGAGCCTTATAGCAGAGGAAGGGGGCTATGGTGGAAACTACCTCCAAGATACCACTCAGTCCTAAGCTGGGGAACAAGCTGAGCTTGGATTCTGGTAGTGAATGAACCGGGAAACATTTATTTGAAGGGTTCTAAGAGTAGCATCGTGTGGGTGCGTTAATTGTATGTGAAGGGGAAGATCCTGAGAAAACAAGAGCTGCTCCACTCTGTGCCTGGGTTTACCAGAGGGACCGATGAGGTCCTCACAAGACCCAGGAATCCCACCGGGGGAAGGAGGCTTAGGGAGATGTGTTTAAGACTGTTAAGTGAGTCACAGACAGAAGCAGATCAAGCCATCCCACCACCTAGGTTTGTGGTTTTGTTTCTCCTAAACTTCCTTTCTGTAAGTAGCAGAACCTTCTCATCACCATCCTTCAAAACCTCTGCATTGTTTGAGCTCCTTGTATTTTCTGGAGATTAATCTCTTGCTTGCAAATATTCTTTCCCATTCTGTAGGTGGTCTCTTCACTCTGCTGTTTGTTTCCTTGATTGTGCAGAAGGTTTGCAGTTTGCTATGATCTCATTTGCCTATTTTTGCTTTTGCTGCCTGAGCTTTTGAGGGTTTTTTTTTTTTGTTTTTTTTTTTGAGACGGAGTCTCGCTCTGTCACCCAGGCTGGAGTTCAGTGGCATGATCTCAGCTCATTGCAACCTCCGCCTCCCGGGTTCAAGTGATTCTCCTGCCTCAGCCTCCCTAGTAGCTAGGACTACAGGCGAGTGCCACCACACCCGGCTAATTTTTGTATTTTTAGTAGAGGCAGGGTTTCACCACGTTTGGCCAGGCTGGTCTCAAACTCCTGACTTCAAGTGATCCACCCACCTTGGCCTCCCAAAGTGCTGGGATTACAGGCGTGAGCCACTGCGCCCGGCGTTGTATTGGATTTTTAATTCAGCCCTATTTTCTCCGACATTTGATATTGGCATTTTTGTCTTTTTTGGATATGCTAGGATCATGGTGTCATAATTTAATTTTAATTTTTATTTTTATTTTAAGTTCCGGGGTACATGTGCAGAATGTGTGGGCTTATTGCATAGGTCAATGTGCGCCATGGTGGTTTCCTGCACCTGTCAACCCATCACCTAGGTATTAAGCCCAGCATACATTAGCTATTTTTCCTAATGCTCTCCCTACCCCTACCCCACCCCCCCCCCGACAGGCCCCAGTGTGTGTTGTTCCCCTCCCTGTGTTCACGCATTCTCATTGTTCAGCACCCACTTGTAAGTGAGAACATGCAGCGTTTGATTTCCTGTTCCTGTGTTAGTTTCCTGAGGATAATGGTTTCCAGCTCCATCCATGTCCCTGCAAAGGACATGATCTTGTTTCTTTTTATGGCTTCATAGTATTCCGTGGTGTATATGTCTCACATTTTCTTTATCCAGTCTATCATTGATGGGCATTTGGGTTGATTCTATGTCTTTGCTATTGTGAATAGTGCTGCGATGAACACATGTGTGCATGTATCTTTGCAATAGAATGATTTATATTCCTTTGGGTATACGCGCAGTAATGGGACTGCTTTTACCTGTGCCAAAATACTGAAGTAGAAATGATTATTCACTCTAAAATGGAAGGTAATAAGATGTATACGTGAGCTATCAGATGCCTGGTGCTTATGAGTGAAGACAAGTCTGTCCAACGCTTCCCAACCCTGCATTCAGGGATGTCTCGTTGGCATCTTGATTATGGCCATGAAAAAAGAATTTACGTCAAGGAAATTGGTAAATGCCACTAATCATAGCATTTCAAAAAATGTCTTTTTCAGAATTAGCATACCATTGGGTCGTGACTTCAAATGCCAGTGTGTTGATTCCAGGTGGTGATATTTCAGGAGAAACTACACAGATAGCATCTGATAAGGAGGGAAGAGCTCATAGGGTCCACACAGGAGGTGAGGGCATCACGGTGCATTTATCTTTTCCTGGTCGGACTCTGATCTTCTCCCGTTGAATTAGTTCCTAAACCAGGTGCGGAACTCTGAACTGAAGACATGAAGACCCAGTAAAGTACACCAGGAAGTGTGGCAATGAGAAATGAAGAGGACTGTGTGACACGCCATGGACCAGAGCATGCAGGTGTGCAGAGGTGTGGACCCAACGCTGCCATGTGGGATGGAGCCTCATGTCTAAGTGTGGGAAAAGAGGCAGATCCAACCAAGGAAAGTCAACATTAATGGAGAGGAAAGGTATCACATTTTAATGGTTCTCCATGGATCACCCCAGAAAATGTCCCTGCACTCGGACATTGATTCCTTCCTCTGGAAATGACCAGCAGACAGTCCAGATAGCATCGGCCCTAGATTTTCTTCCAGAACCTCCTGGGATCATCAGATCTGTTCCTGAGGCTTCACGACTCTATAAAGTACATTATCCTCTCTGCTGTTCACCTCCCGGCTGCATCTTGGGAAGCTTCTCTGGCTGTGCCAAGCCTCAAATGACAGAATCCCGAGGACCACCAGGATCAAGCCAGCCACGCCCATGTGGATGAGATTCTCCACTGCGTAATCCTGAAGGTGTGAGGCTGGGGATGGTGGACAAAGAGGTCACAGAGGTCAGGGTGGATCAGATTGTCCACCCAGGGCACCCACCTCCCCTTCACAGGACCCAACCCTCAGTGCCAGCCCCATCACTGAGAGTATCTCCTCACATACCAGTCTCAGAGTCAGACTTGTTTTGTGATGGGCTGAGGGTATCAGCTGCTCCAGAGAATCAAAACAGAGAAAAAGAGACCTGAGCCCAGCCTCTCACCTGGGCTCTGCAATTTTTTTTTTATTACTTAATGTCTCATGATGTGACTTTTACAGAATTTCTAAAAAAAAAAAAAAAAAACCTCTTCCTCCGCTAGCAGGATTCCCTCTAGTCTCCTCATTGAACGATTTCAGTTTTCCTGTGTTCTATGGATTTAAACATTGCTCCTGAGTCATCTGGGAGAGAGTTTTCCTGCATCCTGAGAGCTCAGGATCTGCAAGGAAAGTGGTCCCCAGTACAGAGGTCACTAAGGCCTGTGTGCTCTCTGTGCAGCCTGGGACACAGGAGAACATGAGCCAACTCCCCCGGAGATGAGAGTTTCACGGATCCACCAGCTGAGGACCCAGGCTCCGTGGATGAGGGTTAGTCATCAGGGGAGCCTCAATGTCAGAAGCACAAAGGGGTGAAATTCTGGGGCTGCCTCCCCTTCATGCCCTCAGCCACTTCACCTGGAGTTTCATTGTCCATTTAATCTCTAGGTAGCTAATTATTCGTATAGGCAGCAACAGGTAGAATGTGATACACACACAGAAAAACACAAACACAAATATATATCTGTTTTATATATATAGTGGGCCTTAAAAACTATCTCTGCCTTCTTGAAGTGTGGGTTCACCTGGAGACAAACAGCAAACATATAGAAACACAGCAGTGGAAATTTACTAGTCGTAGCAATGGTTTTAGATATATTGGTAGAGACCTATATTTATGTGTGAATATATATTATTTGTATAGATATACGGATAACTAGGTTTCAATGTCACGTAAGATGTTGGTGTGACCACACACGCGCACACACACACACACACGTATATGCAGAGAGTGGAAGAGAGAGAGAAGGAATTCAGCCGCATGGTGTAGGTTGGTTAATTACTTGACATAAATGAGAAGCAGGCAGGACTGGGCTGAGCTGTGTCGTCAGTGAAGGTCACACTTGGAGGTGACATTGAAGCTGATTCCTCAATAGGAAAAAGGGCCAGGAAGGAGGCGTGTGGAGACCCAGACAGGGAGCAACAGAGGCTCCAGAAAGAGCAGGTCCCAGAAAGGTCTCAGCCTGTTCTTCAGAAAGGAATGGCCGCTTGTCTACAGGGTGGAGGAGGAGGCAGAGGAGGAGGGGAGATGAGCTTCGGGGCCTTGGTGGATTGAGAATAGGCCAGGATGAACCGGCCAGGAAAGAGCGGCCCCAATATCTCTCTCTCTGTCTCTCTGTCTCTGTCTCTGCCTCTCTCTCCCTCCCTCTGAGGTCTGGAAAGTGCTGTAGGGTTTCAAGGAGTGGTACCAGTCATTTGACTTTTTCTGAAAAGATAAGCCCTACCCCCTCCATAGCAAATGTCCAGAACGAAGGAAGTCCACATTTCTACCTGAAGTTTACAAAACCTCAGGGAGCACGTGAGATCAGGGCTATTACGAAACCGGGTGAGAATAAAAATAGGTGATGCTGCAAATCTACTTTCACCAGCTTGGACAAAAAGGCCAATATGAGATTTTAAAAACCCAAATAAAAAATGTCAACGGCGCAGAAGAGGAGCGGTGCACATTCCCTGAGCTGCTGCGGGAGCACGTGCAAGTCCCTGTGAGGCTCAGGTGTGCGCTGAGTGCTGGGGAGGCTGCAGGGGAAAGCAGGAAGTGGGGCGGGGTGGGGGGGGGTCGGGGGTGGATGCAGGTGGCACCGGCAGCCTGGATGCTTCTCTCTCCAGGAGGGCGTCTGTTGGGGACTGGGACACAGAGGCTCTGATTCTGAGGTGGAGACACCAGGATGGGAGCAGGTGGGGCCTCCGTCTTCCACCCTCAGTCTAATCTCAACTCCTTTGAGGTTCACCCCCCGTCTCCTCCCAGCCCTCCCTGCACTTTACTCTACTGAGACTTCAGGGGTGGGAGCCAGGGGTGGGAGGTCCCTGTCTATTTCCATCTTCCCATGGGCTGGACCCTCCCCTGCGGACCCTCTCCCTTCACTCCCCTCTTTCCTTAGTGTCCAGAGCTCTGCTGGGGGCAGGGCCTGAGCTGAGCCTTTGAGCTCAGAGAGGACAGGGTCAGCGCCCTCACCTGAGACCACGAGCTCCACGGGGCCACTGGGGTGAGACAGCAGGTAGGGGTCGGAGCTGAGTGAGCCGTAGCACCTGTAGGTCCCCGTGTGGGCTGAGGTCACAGGACTCATGGGGAATTC